>NW_003315969.2:0-74653 GCF_000001405.40 Homo sapiens | reverse complement strand
TACATATCTTCAAATATGTATATTTGACAGTGGAGAATAAAAAAGAATAAATCACATAGCTTTAAAAATGATGTCAAATACAGCTTCAGCCTTTAAAACACATTTTAGAGGAAAAAAATTAACTATTATATAGAGTTAATCAAAATAAAACAACTTCTTAGGTTTGATAGCAGATCAAAAGTAAGCTTAAAAGTAATATACAGTGTTTAACATTTATGTGTAAGTTTAGTGGTCTGAGAAATAACTTTCCAATTGTACGGCCACTCTGTATTAGACATGATATTAAGGTAATGATGGAATATGTTCTTTCTTTATGGATACAAGGGATCTATTACCATAAAGAATGAATTAAATCTGTTACTATATCAAGAAAAACAGTGCATAAAATACTAATGCTACAAGAAAATGTGTCTCAGCCGGGTTAACAGATGGGTGAAGTGTGAAGGCAGATAAACTCTGCTTCTTTTGGCTTAGTCTTTATATCTCCCTACAACTATAACTAATCCTCTTTATTTGAACAATTTCAAAGACTCTAATTTTACACACATGGCATGCATACAAGAGACACACTTTTAGTTCCTGCCAGCAGGTAATTAGAAGCAACAAAAAGGTATGTCTTGATGAAGAATTGCCTCACTGCCCAAGCCACCACTTCAGCTGATCCAACAGAAATTCATCCTGTTACAGACCACTGCTCAGAGGCAGAGAAGGTCTGGTTTGCAGAGGAAAAAAAAATCATCCAGCCAATCAGACTTGAAATTGATCAATTCATCCCATTATATTTATGTACAGAAAAAGCCTATTAATTTTTGTATAACTAACTTTATAACCAGGTACTTAGTCATATTATTTCTAACAGCTTTTCAATTGATTTATATGGATTTTAGAGATATATAATGATGTAATCTGCAAATAATTTTTCCCCATATTTACAGCTTTTTTTCCTCTTATCTAATTGCACTGGCCAGTACTCCTAGAACAGTATTAAAAAAATAGTTTCCATGGTGACCAATATTGTCTTTAATAACGGAAAAAATGGTTTTAGCATTTTGCCATTTAGCATCATGATGGTTTTTCAACTAATACGTGCATATGTGTTTACATGTTAATTTATTGTGTCCAGAATCTATTCCTAATTGAAACTTTTAAAATGAAGAAATGATTGTCAAATTTTGACAAAAAAAGCTCTTTGGGTCACAAAACTATAATTATGGGTTTTTTCTTCCATTACCTATTAATATAGTAAATTATGATAATAAACATAATAGCAAGCCATCCTTGCATTCCTATGATTTTTGCATTTTAATAAACTTCTAAATTCTATGTGCTAGTATTTTCTTTAAGAATTGTACTTAAGGACATACAGTATAAAGAGATAATCAGGGCCAGGTGCAGTGGCTCATGGCTGTAATCCCAGCACTTTGGGAGGCTGAGGTGGGCAGATTACCTGAGCTCAGGAGTTCGAGACCAGCCTGGGCAACGCTGTGAAACCCCATCTCTACTATAATACAAAAAATTAGCTGGGCATGGTGGCATGCGCCTGTAGTCCCAGCTACTTGGGAGGCTGAGGCAGTAGAGTTGCTTAAACCCAGGAGGCAGAGGTTGCAGTGAGCTGAGATTGCACCACCACACTCCAGCCTGGGAGACAGCAAGACTATGTCTCAAAAAAAAAAAAAAAAAAGAAATAATCAGAATTATCCCTCTCCATACTGGCATTTCTATATTCTTTGGCTCTGTAGGAAAGTTGGTGCTGCTAATACACCTCTAGGATTTATTTGCTGTAAGCAAGTAATAATAATAATAGTAGCTCACACTTCCTACAGCATGTATTCTGTAACAGATGATGATCTGAGAGCTTGTTACATAATGCTTTCAATCCTGTGAGGCAAGTACTATCATCATTATCATCACCATTATCTCCACTTTTCAGACAAGGAAACTGAGCTTGTTCAAGGTCACTTAGGTAGTAAGTCACAAAGTCCAAGCAATCTGGCATGACAGTTTGTGTTCTGATTCCCTAAGTCACTCGTTCATTCCACCTGCAGCATGTATTTACTCACTGCCTATTTGGAAGACACTTCACAATATTTTCCTTTTAAAAAGCAAATGAATACTTTGATGAACATCTAGGTCTATGCAGTAGTTCTAAAATGTTTGTATCTATTTATTCCAGGCACTATTCCCATACAGCTCTCTCCCCAACCTTTCAAAATTTCTGTCCTAACTGCTGTGATCCAATATGTCAGGCTGAGAGAATATTAAGCTGAGCCCAAGATACTAGCCTAGTCTGATGACATTCTGGCAGAGTCTATGTGGATGCTCCTGGAAAGGCAAGGCCTTAGTAACAAAGGAGAACCAAATATCCATGTCAGCTGGATGACGAGGCTGTTGCAAATGATGCTACCCGACATGACATGTCTCGTCTGGAAAAGAGAGAAAACTAGCTAGATGTGCAGCAAGGCATGAGTGCTTGGCCAGTAGAAGGTACAAGAAAATAACCGAGTGCCAACTACAGGCAGAGCGTGAGAGCGGAGCAGCGTCTGGGAGGTGCTTTTCACACCATATGTCTTTTCCTTTGCCCCACAGCCCCTGTGGCATTTTTGAGGTGTCAGCTCTTGATTTCTTCTATTACCTGGTTTACATTAGCCTCCTGAAGCCCCTTTGTGTGGGTTGTAGTGTCCTCTGTGAGGGTGATAAATAGAAGGCACCGTGGCCAATATTTGGGGGAAGGAGCCTTGTGAATGGGCCTGATGGGCTGAGGTTGGGGGCTGGGGAGGATGGAAAGAATGTTTCCTCTGTAATCCGGCATTTAATCACTGGCGCTGAGGACAATGGAGGCTCCTCCACCCTCCCAAGGCCTGATTTCATTTGGCAAGCCCAGCCCTCTTTTGTCAGCCTCACAAGGAGGTCCCACCCCTCCATGCTCCACACAAGGTTCGCTTCCCAAGTGTCATTGAGATGAAACAGCCAGAACATGGGCTGGGGACTGCTGCGCTCAGCCTCTCTCTGTCACCAGCACTGGTCCTTCCCTCATAGGCCTTTGTGACTCTGTGAATCTATAATTCCAGGAAATTTTATATTTAGTGTTCTCAAAGCGAGTGCAACCCGGTGCAATGCGTTTCTATATATATAACTTTTCCTAAGAAAATTATGATTCCATTCAAGAGCCAAAGAGTGCCAGATGGTTCCCAGCAATATGAAATGATAAGCACAGTGGTACTAAAATGAAAGGAAACCTCTCAATGACTTTCATTTCTTCCCTTCCCTTCCAGTCCTTAAGTATGATGGCTATCTAATTTTATGTAATAATTACAGCAAATATGTGATTTTTTTGTACTTTTTTTCAGCCTAGTATTTTTTAATATTGCTATGTTGCTTTCAAAATAATTATGTTAATGCTAGATACTTACACTCACGTTCCTGGGTTAACATTTACCCTGTTGCCAGACACAGATATAAAGGGATGTCATACTGCACGATCAGCCCCTGGAATCAGAAAACCTCAGCTTTGTTCTGCTTTTATTCCAACAGTGTGATCTGTGTATCTTAACCACTCTGAACATGTCTCTTCATCCATGAAGCAAGGGTCACAACCGCACCTACTTCCCAGGGACACGGTAAAATCAAAGGAAATGATACATGTGACAGCTGCTTGTGAACTGCAGAGCCAGACAAGTGGTAGTTATTAGTAGCTTGTTTCCCAGTTTTCCATGCTAAAAATAAAGATTAAAGTGAACATTTTCAAACACAGAGCATTCAACTCCCTTTAGATGCTTTGTCTAGGATAGATTCCAGAACCTAGGACTATTTGATCAAAAATAAAGAAATAAACATTTTTATGGTTCTTAGATCAGAATTGCTACCTGCTTTTCAAAGGGTTGAACCAACTTACATTGTAACTGGCTACATATGGATGTAGCACTTTGCCAAGACCTCACCAGCATAGCAAAATTTCGTTTTAAAACAGGTTGGCTAATTATATAAGTTGCCACCATTTGCGTTGTTTAACCACTGGTGAAGTCTGAACATTTTTCATATTTCCTTATGAAAAACAAGTGGGCATCAATATGTTTTAAGACCATTTTTAAAATAACACTAATTTCCCAAGGTAGGGAGAAAAAGACCATATCATGTAGAGAAACCAACTTGAGCTTTAAAATGACACTTAAGTACAAAAATGTTTGCAGTACTCTATAGCCAATGAGCTCTCCAAAACCAAGAAACCAAGTTCCCACTTTTGTCCTGAGATATATCTGGCCACAATGATTTATCCATATCTGGGGCCCAATCCTGCCTCTTTGGTCCTTTTCTGTAGTGTGGATATTAGCTTGTGAAGGCAAGCAACAGAGTTGGGGACTGACAGTTTCCTGGGGAAAAACGGAGGCTTAGGGGGCTAGACTTCAACTAATGGACTAGTCGACAAATATTTATTGGGTGTTATTAAGCACTTACTAAAGCATGGCTTCTACTCTCAAAGAAATAGTAAGATGAAAGGGTTAACAACAGGAAACCATCGTAGAACACAGAACATACTTGAAAACCTGGTGATGATGCCCCCTAGCACCCTGGCAGTCAGGAAATGGAGAAAACATGTCGCCTGGAGTGAGCTGGAAAATCTTCAGAGAACAGGTAAAAATTGCTCTGCCGGCCGGGCGCAGTGGCTCACGCCTGTAATCCCAGCACTTTGGGAGGCTGAGGAAGGTGGATCACCTGAGGTCAGGAGTTCGAGACCAGCCTGGCCAATATGGGGAAGCCCTGTCTCTACTAAAATATAAAAAATTAGCCAGGTGTGGTGGCACACACCTGTAGTCCCAGCTACTCAGGAGGCTGAAGCACAAGAATCACTTGAACCCAGGAGGTGGAGGTTGCAGTGAGCCGAAATTGCACCACTGCACTCCAGCCTGGGGAACAGAGCGAGACTCTCTCTCAAAAAAAAAAGAAAAAAATTGCTCTGCCTTGGGTCAGTGACAGCAGAACACAGACAAGAGGAGTCACCTAAAGTCAGGTCACCTAAAGTCTTTAGCACCTAGTCGCTGTGAAGAATTTAAAATTATGACAACTTTTTGGTAATGCATAGAGAAAAATATTGGTACTAGAAAAGAACTAGAAAAGCAAGAGCAAACACATTCAAAAGCTAGCAGAAGGCAAGAAATAACTAAAATCAGAGCAGAACTGAAGGAAATAGAGACACAAAAAACCCTTCAAAAAATCAATGAATCCAGGAGCTGGTTTTTTGAAAGGATCAACAAAATTGATAGACCGCTAGCAAGACTAATAAAGAAAAAGAGAGAGAAGAATCAAATAGACACAATAAAAAATGATAAAGGGGATATCACCACCGATCCCACAGAAATACAAACTACCATCAGAGAATACTACAAACACCTCTACACAAATAAACTAGAAAATCTAGAAGAAATGGATACATTCCTCGACACATACACTCTCCCAAGACTAAACCAGGAAGAAGTTGAATCTCTGAATAGACCAATAACAGGCTCTGAAATTGTGGCAATAATCAATAGTTTACCAACCAAAAAGAGTCCAGGACCAGATGGATTCACAGCCGAATTCTACCAGAGGTACATGGAGGAACTGGTACCATTCCTTCTGAAACTATTCCAATCAATAGAAAAAGAGGGAATCCTCCCTAACTCATTTTATGAGGCCAGCATCATTCTGATACCAAAGCCGGGCAGAGACACAACCAAAAAAGAGAATTTTAGACCAATATCCTTGATGAACATTGATGCAAAAATCCTCAATAAAATACTGGCAAACCGAATCCAGCAGCACATCAAAAAGCTTATCCACCATGATCAAGTGGGCTTCATCCCTGGGATGCAAGGCTGGTTCAATATACGCAAATCAATAAATGTAATCCAGCATATAAACAGAGCCAAAGACAAAAACCACATGATTATCTCAATAGATGCAGAAAAAGCCTTTGACAAAATTCAACAACCCTTCATGCTAAAAACTCTCAATAAATTAGGTATTGATGGGACGTATTTCAAAATAATAAGAGCTATCTATGACAAACCCACAGCCAATATCATACTGAATGGGCAAAAACTGGAAGCATTCCCTTTGAAAACCGGCACAAAACAGGGATGCCCTCTCTCACCGCTCCTATTCAACATAGTGTTGGAAGTTCTGGCCAGGGCAATCAGGCAGGAGAAGGAAATAAAGGGTATTCAATTAGGAAAAGAGGAAGTCAAATTGTCCCTGTTTGCAGACGACATGATTGTTTATCTAGAAAACCCCATCGTCTCAGCCCAAAATCTCCTTAAGCTGATAAGCAACTTCAGCAAAGTCTCAGGATACAAAATCAATGTACAAAAATCACAAGCATTCTTATACACCAACAACAGACAAACAGAGAGCCAGATCATGGGTGAACTCCCATTCACAATTGCTTCAAAGAGAATAAAATACCTAGGAATCCAACTTACAAGGGATGTGAAGGACCTCTTCAAGGAGAACTACAAACCACTGCTCAAGGAAATAAAAGAGGAGACAAACAAATGGAAGAACATTCCATGCTCATGGGTAGGAAGAATCAATATCGTGAAAATGGCCATACTGCCCAAGGTAATTTACAGATTCAATGCCATCCCCATCAAGCTACCAATGACTTTCTTCACAGAATTGGAAAAAACTACTTTAAAGTTCATATGGAACCAAAAAAGAGCCCGCATTGCCAAGTCAATCCTAAGCCAAAAGAACAAAGCTGGAGGCATCACACTACCTGACTTCAAACTATACTACAAGGCTACAGTAACCAAAACAGCATGGTACTGGTACCAAAACAGAGATATAGATCAATGGAACAGAACAGAGCCCTCAGAAATAATGCCGCATATCTACAACTATCTGATCTTTGACAAACCTGAGAAAAACAAGCAATGGGGAAAGGATTCCCTATTTAATAAATGGTGCTGGGAAAACTGGCTAGCCATATGTAGAAAGCTGAAACTGGATCCCTTCCTTACACCTTATACAAAAATCAATTCAAGATGGATTAAAGATTTAAACGTTAAACCTAAAACCATAAAAACCCTAGAAGAAAACCTAGGCATTACCATTCAGGACATAGGCGTGGGCAAGGACTTCATGTCCAAAACACCAAAAGCAATGGCAACAAAAGACAAAATTGACAAATGGGATCTAATTAAACTAAAGAGCTTCTGCACAGCAAAAGAAACTACCATCAGAGTGAACAGGCAACCTACAACATGGGAGAAAATTTTTGCAACCTACTCATCTGACAAAGGGCTAATATCCAGAATCTACAATGAACTCAAACAAATTTACAAGAAAAAAACAAACAACCCCATCAAAAAGTGGGCGAAGGACATGAACAGACACTTCTCAAAAGAAGACATTTATGCAGCCAAAAAACACATGAAGAAATGCTCATCATCACTGGCCATCAGAGAAATGCAAATCAAAACCACAATGAGATACCATCTCACACCAGTTAGAATGGCAATCATTAAAAAGTCAGGAAACAACAGGTGCTGGAGAGGATGCGGAGAAATAGGAACACTTTTACACTGTTGGTGGGACTGTAAACTAGTTCAACCATTGTGGAAGTCAGTGTGGCGATTCCTCAGGGATCTAGAACTAGAAATACCATTTGACCCAGCCATCCCATTACTGGGTATATACCCAAATGAGTATAAATCATGCTGCTATAAAGACACATGCACACGTATGTTTATTGCGGCACTATTCACAATAGCAAAGACTTGGAACCAACCCAAATGTCCAACAATGATAGACTGGATTAAGAAAATGTGGCACATATACACCATGGAATACTATGCAGCCATAAAAAATGATGAGTTCATATCCTTTGTAGGGACATGGATGAAATTGGAAACCATCATTCTCAGTAAACTATCGCAAGAACAAAAAACCAAACACCGCATATTCTCACTCATAGGTGGGAATTGAACAATGAGATCACATGGACACAGGAAGGGGAATATCACACTCTGGGGACTGTGGTGGGGTCGGGGGAGGGGGGAGGGATAGCATTGGGAGATATACCTAATGCTAGATGACACATTAGTGGGTGCAGCGCACCAGCATGGCACATGTATACATATGTAACTAACCTGCACAATGTGCACATGTACCCTAAAACTTAGAGTATAATAAAAAAAAAAAAAAAAAAAAAAAAAAAAAAAAAAAAAAAAAAAAAAAAAAAAACGCCTAACAAAGAAATCTTCAGGCTTAAATGGTGTCTTTGGAGAATAAAAAAGAATAAAGAAGAATTTACTTCAATTCTACAAAATATTTTCCAGAAAATAAAATAGGAAGGAACCCACCCCAATTTATTTCATCAAGCTGGTATTACCTGCATACCAAAACCAGACAAAGACAGTACAAAAAAAGAATATTACAGAACAATATCTTTCATGAATACAGATGCCAAATTTCTAAGAAAATAGGAAATAGAACTTAGCAATATATAAAAAGAAGTATTCTGTTGCTAAATAGAATTTAGCAATATATAAAAAGTCACCAATTAGAGTTCATTCCCGAAATATAAGGCTGGCGCAATCAATGTAATTCACTATGTTAACAGACTAAAAAAGAAGGAGAAAAATTAGATGATCATATCAACTGATGTAAAAGAAAAAGCATTCAACAAAATTAAATGCCTATTCATGATAAAAAGTTTTTTTGAAAAACAATAATAGAAAGAAACTTCAACTTGATAAAAAGCATCTACGAAAAACTTGCAGCTAACATTATACCTAATTGTAAAGACTGAATACTTTGTTCCTAATATCAGCAACAAAACAAGGATGTGTGCTCTCATCACTCTTATTCAACATAGTGCTGGAAGTTCTGGCCAGTTTAATCAGGCAAGAAAAGAGAATAAAAGGCATATAGATCAGAAAGGAATAAATAAAACTGTTTCTATTTCAAAAAAAAAAAAAAATGTTGACAATGGTTGTATCTGGGGATGAAATTTGGGGAGATTATAATATATTTCTATTTTATTTTATTTATTTATTTATTTATTTATTTATTTATTTATTTATTTATTTATAGAGATAGAGTCTCACTATGTCACCTAGGCTGGAATGCAGTGGCATGATCATAGCTCACTGCAGCCTCAAACTCCTGGGCTCAAGCGATCATTCCACCTCAGCCACCTGAGTAGCTAGGACTACAGGTCCATACCACCATGCCAGGCTAGCTTTAAAATTTTTTTTTTTTTGTAGAGATCCAGACTCACTATGTTGCCCAGGCTGGTCTCAAACTCCTGGCCTCAAATGATCCTCCAACTTCAGCCTCCCAAAGTGCTGGGATTACAGGCGTGAGCCATTGTGCCTTGTCTATATTTTTTATAATAACCATAGATGGCTCAAATGATAAAGGAATATGATAAAATAGGAAGTAATATTATGGGCTAACTCGGAAAACTAACTGCCATGTAAAACATTTTAATTAGAAAATGTATTTTGAGATCCAAAAATTCTAAAGTACAACCCCTTTATACATAGGGGGTTGGCAGTGTCATTTTTTTATGATCCACTATGATTATACAACAATCTGACAGTGCCTCTTCAGTACCTACCAAATACTTCTCTGTACCTACTGAGGCGTTAGAATGATTTTTTGAACATTTGTCTCCAAACATATCTATCCATGAAAACAGGCAATACCAAAAGAAATGTTCTGGGAAGTTGGGGGGTAGAGGGATGTTTGTTTTTTAATTATTACGTTGGTGCAAAAGTAATTATGGTTTTGCAACTACTTTTAATGGTGCAATGACATAAACTGAGCATCTTGTAAATTGAACTGACCTCTAGCTGGGTCATACTCAGACCTAAAGCAGCACTGCCTATTATTCAGATGCTTTCCAAGGCAAGTGGATAAAGGAAGAAGGAAAGAAAGCTCCATTTCAAATCCTGAATTAGGTCCAAAGATACCCCCTGGGAAAGGCATTCGCTTCGGGTGTATTTTCACTGAAGGGCTTGCATGCTGGAAATACCCTCCCTCCTCTTTGACTCGCTTGCTTCCCTAGTTCTTAATCACAGGCTCAGGGGACTCTCAGCACCTCTCCTTCCTCCAGGTAAGTAGAAGCCTGTACCACGTCGTAGGTGGCTCCTTGGGTCGGGAAGCAGGTGCTGCCAGCCCGGGACGCCTCCCAGGGGACATTAGCTACCTTGCGGGAGAGCCTGCGTGTCTGGTTGGTGTGCAGAGAAACATTGCCATCTAGTGGAAGAAATAGCAACGCTCTCATCTCTTTTCTTGAGCTAATGGCGTGTAACCATGGATTGGATGTTTACAGAGCCATCTCACTGTTGGGCTGATCACATTGAAACTTTCCTAGGAAAAGTTCTTATCATCTTCTTCCTACCTTAAATTTTGTACTTCAGTAAATTTAAAGAAATACAATTGGGCACTTCAGGCCGGGCGCGGTGGCTCACACTTGTAATCCCAGCACTTTGGGAGGCCGAGGCGGGCGGATCACGAAGTCAGGAGATCGAGACCATCCTGCCTAACACAGTGAAACCCCGTCTCTACTAAAAATACAAAAAAATTAGCCGGGCGTGCTGGCGGGCGCCTGTAGTCCCAGCTACTGGGAAAGCTGAGGCAGGAGAATGGTGTGAACCCGGGAGGCGGAGCTTGCAGTGAGCCGAGATCGCGCCACTGCACTCCAGCCTCGGCGACAGAGAAAGACTCTGTCTCAAAAAAAAAAGACAAGAAAAGAAAAAGGAAAAAAAAGAAATAAGAATTGGGCACTTCATTCCCAGGGGAATTACCAGAACCCACCTAAGCTAGACAGGAAAAGAAATGAAAGTAGAGGTTATCTGTAGTTCATGATGAACTTGCTGTTTCCCTCATTATCACTTGTACTTTCCTCTTGTTTATGTACCTAGGATGACTCCTTTGTCCAACGCTTCACCAAATCCAGCACCATGGACTCAGTCAGATTCCATAGGCGAAGAACAGAAGCTCATGTTAGCAAAGCTTCCTTGTGTGGTATTCTGATTTGATGATCTTTTTTTTTTTTGGAAACATACTATCAAGAGATCCTGTTGGCCATGCAAGGTGGCTCACGCCTGTAATCCCAGCACTTTGGGAGGCCGAGGTGGGAGAATCCCTTGACACCAGGAGTTTGAGACCAGCCTGATGAACGTAGCAAGACCCTCATCAGTACAAAATATTTAAAAATTAACTGAGTGTGGTGGCATGCAACTTGTAGTCCCAGCTAGTCAGGAGGCCGAGGTGGGAGGATCACTTGAGCCGAGGAGTTAGAGGCCGCAGTGAGCTATGATTGCACCACTGCATTCCAGTCTGAGTGACACAGCAAGACCCCATCTCCACAAAACAAACCTCAGAAAGCTTAGAATTAAAATGAAGAAGGTGATTGGGATAAAAAAAATTCATGATGGAGTAAGATAATAAATACAAACCTAAATATACCATAATAATATTAATGGCTCAAATTCCCACAGTAAAAACAGATTAGATTTAAAAATCAGTTATATTTGGCTGGGCGCAGTGGCTCATGCCTGTAATCCCAGCACTTTGGGAGGCCAAGGCAGGTAGATCACCTGAAGTCAGGAGTTCGAGACCATCCTGACCAACATGGAGAAACCCTGTCTCTACTAAAAATACAAAATTAGCCAGGCGTGGTGCCACATGCCTGTAATCCCAGCTACTTGGGAGCCTGAGGCAGGAGAAGAGCTTGAACCTGGGAGGCAGAGGTTGCGAAACTCCATCAAAAAAAAAAAAAAGGCCGGGCGCGGTGGCTCACGCCTGTGGTCCCAGCACTTTGGGAGGCTGAGGCAGGCAGATCATGCGGTCAGGAGATCGAAACCAGCCTGGCCAACATGGTGAAACCCAGTCTCTACTAAAAATACTAAAAAAAATGCTGGGGGTGGTGGTGGGCTCCTGTAATCCCGGCTACTCAGGAGGCTGAGGCAGGAGAATCGCTTGAACCCAGGAGGCGGAGGTTGCAGTGAGCCAAGATCGTCCCACTGCACTCCAGCCTGGGGGAAAGTGCGAGACTCTGTCTCAAAAAGAAAAAAAATCAGTTACATTCTATTTATAAAAGATAATCCAAAACATATGGAGGACAAGGGAATAAAGTGATGAATAAAGATATACCAGACAAATAGGAACCAAAAAAAAAATCTAGGATCGCCACATCAATTTTAGACAAAATAACAATAAAGAGGGTAACTAACATTCTGATTATCTAGAAAAGAGAGTAACTAACATTCTGTTGTTTAGAACAACAATTCTAGAGTAGAGGGCATCATATAAAATAGCGTCAAGGAGGAATAAGTTCCAGTGTTCTATACCATTGTAGGATGACTGTAGTCAAAAATAATATGTGGTTTCAAACAGCTAGAAGGAGGATATCAAATGTCCCCCATACAAACGAATGATAAATGTTTGAAATGATGGATATGCTAATTCTTGTTATTCTGATCACTATACTTTATATGTACCAAAACATCACTATGTGCCCCATAAATGTGTACAATTATTACATGTCAACTTAAATATATATAAAGCAATAATTCTAAAACAAGAGATTCTAAAATTAAATGGAAACATAGTGGGCTAAGAGTAGCTAAGGCAATCTTGAAGAACACTTCGGAGCTATTAAAATTTATAAAAGACCTATCATAAAACTCTAGTGGCCAAGACAGTAAGGTATCGGTACAAGAATGAAAAAAAACAATAGAACAGAATGGTGAGTTGAGAAACAGATCCACATATATACAGTCATCCAATTCATAAGAAATTGACAATCAGACAATTAAATTTGTTTAAAATCTTGACCCCTGACTCACACCAAAGATGAAAATCAATTCCAGACAGATCATAGATTAAATGTATTGGGTTAAACCATATGAAACTCCTATTTTTTAAGTTGACTATTAGTAATTTCATATGGTTTAACTTAATAAAACAGTAAAACTTTTGTGATAGAGCATGGGAAAATATTTTCATGAAACTGAAGTAGCCAAAGGTCTATTTAACCAACACAAAAAATGTGATAATCATAGAGAAAAAATAAGTAAATTAAAACACATTAATATTAAAAACTTTCGGCCAGGCGCAGCAGCTCATGCCTGTAATCCCAGCACTTTGGGAGGCCAAGGGAGGTGGATCACCTGAGGTCGGGAGTTTGAGACCATCCTGACCAACATGGAAAAACTCCATCTCTACTAAAAACACAAAATTAGCCGAGCATGATGGCGCACGCCTGTAATCCTAGCTACTCAGGAGGCTGAGGCAGGAGAATCACTTGAACCTGGGAGGCAGAGTTTGTGGTGAGCTGAGATCACTCCATTGCACTCCACCCCAGGCAACAAGAGTGAAACTCTGTCTCAAAAAATAAAAAAGATTAAAAACTTTTGTTCATCAAAAGACAGTGTTAAGAGTGAAAAGTTAAGCCACAGAGTGGGAGAATATATTTAAAATACATGTATTCAACAAAGGACTCATTCAGATTATATAACGAACTCCTACAAAGAGATTTGTATTAAATGTCAGACAACCCAAAAGAAAAAAATGGGCAGAATTATGAGCAATTATGTCACCACACAAAGAAGATAGCCTTCAAATAGTTATCAAGAAAATGTCACCTAGGACCACAATTGTGTACACAAGAATGACTAAAGGGAAGAAGACACTATCAAGTGTGGGCAAGAGTGAGGAACAACGGGGACCCTCATATACTACTGGTCGGGGTGTAAAATGGCCCACCCACCTTAGAAAACTGTCAGGCGACATCTACTAAAGCAGAAACATATGTGTAGTCTGTGACCCAGCAATTTCAATCTTGGATGTATACTCAACAGAAATGTATATACATGTTCACCAAAACACATTTAGGAGAATGTTCATGGCTTCACTATTTATAATAGTAAAAGAACTGGATACAACCCACATGCCCATCTATAGTAGAATGGGACTAGGTACAGTGGCTCACGCCTATAATCCCAGCACTTTAGGAGGCCAAGGCAGAAGGATCGCTTGAGCCCAGGAGTTCAAGATTAGCCTGGGCAACATAGTGAGATCCCACTCTACAAAATAATTTTTTTTTAAAGATGAAAAATTAGCTGGGCATGTTGGCATATTCTTGTAGTCCCAGCTACTCAGGAGGTTGAGGTGGTAGGAACCCTTAAGCCCAGAAGTTGGAGGATACAGTGAACCATGATTGTGCCACTGCACTCTAGCCTGGGTGACAGACCAAGATCCTGTCTCAAACATTAAAAAAAATAAAATTAAAATAGTAGAATGGGTAAATAAATTGTGTAATATCCACACTTAGAATAATATTCAACAGTCAGTGAGAGCGAATCATCTGTAACTGTCTAAGACTACTCAGGCCCTATAACAAAACATCACCTATTGGATGACTTATAAAAACAGACATTTATTCCTCATGGTTCTAAAGGCTGGAAGTTCAAGATCAAGGTGCCAGCAGATTTGATGTCTGGTGAGGGGCACTTTCTGGTTCATAGATGGTGCCTTCTTGCTGTGTCCTCACATGATGGAAGAGAGAAAACGCTGGTCTCTCAGCTTCTTCTAAGGGCACTAAGTCCCATTCCTGAAGGCTCTACCCTTATGACGTAATCGCCTTCCAAAGGCCCTGCTTTCTAATACCATCGTCTCAAGAGTTAGAATTTCAACCTGTGAATTTTCAGACCAAAGCAAGAATATAAAGCACTCAAAAACAACCTCAGATATATATATAGAGAGAGAAAGAGAGACATTTTATATTTGCATATCAATAAATAGAACTGGGAAAATTAGTTTTTCATATAAAAAGTTATACCTAAATCATGCCATACTCAAAATTAATTATAGATAGATTTAAAACTCCAATGTGAAAAGGAAAGCTTTAAAACTTTGGGAAGAAAATATCAAAAATATCTTTATAAATTCAGAATAGTGAAGGACTCTGGGGCCAGGCTATCTGGGTTCCAGTCTCAGCTCTATGACTTACTAGCTGTGTGAGCTTGGACAGTTTCTCCCTACTCTTTACTTTCCACGTATGAAAAATAAGGAGAATAATGGCACCTTCTCACAGGGTCATTGAGAGGATTAAATGAATAATATGCATAAACTGTTTAAAATACTGACTGACACTTATTAAGTGCTATATGGGTTTTTGTTGTTTTATGAGTAGTACTGGTAGTTGTTATAAGGGACAGATACTTTCCAGTTGGAAGATATATGTTTTTAAAAGTTCAGAAAGTCTAGTAATTAAGGGAAGAAATGGATAATCAATATTGAAAGATAGCAAAAAAGAAAAATATAATAAAGAAAGGACAAATTAAGAATTTGTGAGCCCCTCATGTAAAAAACCAGACTAATGTAAATAAGCTGAATTACTCTATTAATCATTTAATCTGTGTATGTCTCCCCCACTGACCCCCAAGCTGTCCCTAACCAAGAATACCATGGGATTGTGTTCTTGTCTGCTTTCTTCCTGCTGTACTTCCACATTCTGAAATGCATTCCACAGGCAGGTGCATCTTGGGTTTCCAATAAAAATCAACCGACCAAGGGGGCGGAATCTCCAGGCTTGAACCCTCAAATACAGACAGGATTATGTGTTCTTTTTCTATTGGGAGGCATAGTTTTCTGGTAGGATACTGGCAAATCAGAAACAGCAAAACAGAGTCTTCTCAGGAGTTCAATAGACTTTGCAGCAAGACTCTTTTATATGCTCAAAATTTAAAATCATTCATGCACTTCTTCATTTTTAAAAAATAGTCTTTTAAGTTTATAGTATTTTCTTTTTATGTTTTTCCAATATTGAAAAACTGCAATGTACAGTATTCTTATTCTCCTGCCAAAACAAATAGCATATTATTGCAGCTGTAACATTTTATGTCTTTGCCACAATAACTGTGGTTTTCCGCAGTAATTTTGCTATTATGCTATGATTTTTATTAGAAAATGTATTACTGCCATCTTAATTTTCTTAGCCAGTTTAACACATTTATGGCTTTTCTGCTTTGGCAAAGTGGTATTTCAAATACTGAAGAATAACTTTTTTAAATTCTATAAATCCTGGATGAAATTTAAACCATAAATTTCATTTCTGAATAATCAAATCAGAACATTACTGCAACTGTGTCATCGCCTAAAGCCAGTAATATTCCATGAGTTTGTAATAACATTATTTTGGGCAAGTCACACAAGGGGTAGTTTAGTGATCTGAAATGTCCAGGGTTTGCTATTTTTTCCCCAATAGTCCTTTTTTTTTTTTCTAAGATGGAGTCTCACTCTGTTTCCCAGGCTGAAGTGCAGTGGCATGATCTCAGCTCACTGCAAACTTCGCCTCCCGGGTTCAAGCTATTCTCCTGCCTCAGCCTCCCAAGTAGCTGGGATTACAGGCTCCTGCCACCACACGCAGCTAATTTATGTATTTTTAGTAGAAGACGGGTTTTCACCATGTTGACCAGGCTGGTCTTGAACTCCTGACCTCATGATCTGCCCTCCTCAGCCTCCCAAAGTGCTGGGAGGCGCAAAGTGCAGGCGTGAGCCACCATGCCCAGCCTCTTCCCCAATATTCTTGAAGAGATTTATAACAACACCGAATCTCAGATTTGATGGCTACCTGTTGAGAGAAATCAAGGAATGAGGAAGAATTTGAATGAGGAATGCAGGTGGCCTTTCTCGCCATCCTTTTGCCTAGTGGCCCCCTTTTTCACCAAGACAAGAGGCTGGTTTTTGTTTCTGGTTTTATCACATCAGACTCTGGCTCATAGCAAAAGCAGTCAGTCTCCTGTTGCTGCTTCATGGATAGCGCCTCTAACAGGCATTAATTTTTTGTTGTTGTCGTTATGGAGGAGTGTCAGCATACACTCTAATAGAACAGTCTGGAAAGACAAGTGTTGTTGGTAAACCCTAGGGACGTGAGAATCAAGTGTCACCAGTAGGTGGAGGACTTGATCAGAAATACACATGCCTTGGGGCCTATACGGAGTTGCCTGCTCAGCTATGGTTTGAAGCAGAATCTGAGGGGATGCTCATGGTCCAGTTTGGCAAATATCAGGGTGTGGTTATTTAGATGAGGCACAAGACTAACTGGAAGTGTGGGACATAAGTGAAAGATGGCACCAGGAGGTTGAAACTGTCCCTTAAACTGAGTCCTACAGGCACCCTCCCTTGGGTGACGGAGCCCCAGTTATTCCTGTGCACCCTCATAGTCTTCTGAGCCAGGGCCCTCTCCCCAGCTAGGTGGCTGATGCCCCAGAACACACCGTATGTGAAACTGTCAGTGGATTCCAGGCACCCGTCCTTTAGTAGGCAGCTAGCAGATCCCCAGCTTAGCAGAAGGCACAGGTTTGGTGGAGACTCAGAAACTAAGCCCAGCAAGTTCCCTCATCAGTGGCTCTCCACCTGGATACATAAACAACTTTTACAATGGTTGTTTAAATAACAGAGCTAGTTCGTCGCCCAGATCTCCTGTGTGTCCTCTCCGTCTTTTTTTTTTTTTTTTTTTTTTTTGAGACGGAGTCTCGCTCTGTTGCCCAGGCTGGAGTGCAGTGGCACGATCTCGGCTTACTGCAAGCTCCGCCTCCCGGGTTCACGCCATTCTCCTGCCTCAGCCTCCCGAGTAGCTGGGACTATAGGCGCCCACCACCATGCCCAGCTAATTTTTTGTATTTTTATTAGAGACAGGGTTTCACCGTGTTAGTCAGGATGGTCTCGATCTCCTGACCTCGTGATCCGCCCGCCTCGGCCTCCCAAAGTGTTGGGATTACAGGCGTGAGCCACCGCGCCCAGCCTCCTCTCCCTCTTAGACATATATTTTGCACACTGAGCTATTTGCACAATCAGGATTAACAAGCAAATAGCTGATGGAGGAAGGGTGAATTGGCTCTCTCTGCTTCAGCTGGGACATCCGTCTTCTTCTGCCCTTGGACATCAGCTCTCCAGCTTCTCGGGTCTTTGGGCTCAGACTTAGACTCACATCATTGGTTCCTCTGGGTCTCAGGCTTTTGGGCTGGGACTGAAACTATACCACTGGCTTTCCTGGACCTTCAACTTCCAAATGGCAGATGGAGGGACTTCTCAGCCTCCACAATTATGTGAGCTAATCCCTCATAATAAATCCCTTTCTTTACATCTATATATAGCCTATCAGTTCTGTTTATCTAATACATTTCCTTTCTGATTTCTTCAATTACTTCTTCTTTACAGCTTTAATGAGACATAATTCAAATACTACACAATTCACCCATGTAAAGTGCAAACTTCGTTGGTTTTAGTGTATTCACAGAATTGTGTAACCATCACCACAATCAATTTTAGAAGCTTTTCATCACCCCAAAAATAAACCCATGCCCATTAGCAGTCATTCCCCATTTCATCTCACCTCCAGCCCTAGGAAATCACCAATCTATTTTCTGTCTCTATGGATTTTCCTATTCTGGACATTTCATATAAATGAAATCATACCATATGTGGTGCTTTCACACTGGCATTTTGCACTTAGATAATGTTTCAAGGTTTATCCATGTGGCAGTATGTATCAGTACATCATTCTTTTTCGGTGCTGAATAATATTCCATTGTGTGGATATACCACATTTTATTTATCTATTCATCAGTTGATGGACATGGGTTGTCACCACTTTGGGGTATGATGAATAATGTTGCTATGAACATTCATGTACAAGTTTTTGTGTGAACATGTATTTCACTTCTCTTGGGTACATACCTCCCAGTGGAATTGCCTGGTCATATGGTAACTCTATCTTTAACCTTTCAAGGAACTGTCAGACTGTTTTCCGAGGTGGCTGCACCATCTATGACAGGCTGAGCATCCCTAATCTTAAAATTTCACATCCAAAATACTCCAAAATCTGAAAATTTTAAGCACCAACATGATGCCACAAGTGGAAGATTTCTCACCTGACCTCGTGTGATGGGTCGCAGTCAAAATGCAGGTGCACAATGCTGAAGATAACATAGTTAACACTGCAGAAAAATTGCCTCTAGACGACATAATGAAAACGTGTGATGGGCTCATTGAAGGACTAGAGCACCACGCATTCATAACAGAACAATAAATCATATCAGGTTTATAAAGTCAAAGAGAGACTTCTAAGACAAGAACAATTTACGCTTGACATTTATGCTTTAACGAGGCAGTTGATTCTGGAGGAAACATCTTTAAAAGCCATCCATCAGAATGCCTCCTGAGCCCCAGAGGACCCACTTCCTGGTCTCTCAATTGCTTCTGAAGTTTCTTCTCATCTAAAAAAATAAAATACAGTGCACAGTAACCTTTTCATCAAAACACAGCATCGTAGGTGGAGCCTGAAAACCTGCTGTTGTTTGTTGCTACTGCTGTTAAGCAGCTGATTCAGCTATTCCAGGGATGCTACTGAGCAGCTTGGTTGCCCTGAACACATTATGTTTTCACTGCATTGATGGCATTCCATGTTTTATTTATTTACTTTTTATTATACTTTAAGTTCTAGGGTACATGTGCACAACTTGCAGGTTTGGTACATAGGTATACATGTGCCATGTTGGTTTTCTACACCCATCAAGTCATCATTTACATTAGGTATTTCTCCTAATGCTATCCCTCCCCCAACCCCCCACCCCCTGACAGGCCCCAGTGCGTGATGTTCCCCACCCTGTGTCCAAGTGATCTCATTGTTCAGTTCCCATCTATGAGTGAGAACATGCAGTGTATGGTTTTCTGTCCTTGCGATAGTTTGCTCAGAATGATGGTTTCTAGCTTCATCCATGTCCCTGCAAAGGGCATGAACTCATCCTTTTTTATGGCTGCATAGTATTCCACGGTGTATATGTGCCATATTTTCTTAATCCAGTCTATCACTGATGGACATTCGGGTTGGTTCCAAGTCTTTGCTATTGTGAATAGTGCCACAATAAACATACGTGTGCATGTGTCTTTATAGTAGCATGATTTACAATCCTTTGGGTATATACCCAGTAATGGGATTGCTGGGTCAAATGATAATTCTAGTTCTAGATCCTTTAGGAATCACCACACTGTCTTCCACAATGGTTGAACTAATTTACACTCCCACCGACAGTGTAAAAGCTTTCCTATTTCTCCACATCCTCTCCAGCATCTGTTGTTTCCTGACTTTTTAATGATTGCATTTCTAACTGGTGTGATATGGTATCCCATTGTGGTTTTGATTTGCATTTCTCTGATGACCAGTGATGATGAGCACATCATCATGTGTCTGCTGGCTGCATAAATGTCTTCTTTTGAGAAGTGTCTGTTCATATCCTTTGCCCACTTTTTGATGTGGTTGCTTGTTTTTTTCTTGTAAATTTTTTTGAGTTCTTTGTAGATTCTGGATATTAGCCCTTTGTCAGATGGGTAGATTGCAAAATTTTCTCCCATTCTGTAGGTTGCCTGTTCAGTCTCATGGTAGTTTCTTTTGCTGTGCAGAAGCTCTTTGTTTAATTAGGTCCCATTTGTCTATTTTGGCTTTTGTTGCCATTGCTTTCAGTGTTTTAGTCATGAAGTCCTTGCCCATGTGGTCCTGAATGGTACTGGATGGCATGCCATATTTTCTACTGATCAGTACTCATGCAAATAAGTGTAAGAAAATGATTTTTATTTATTTATTTATTTATTTATTTATTTATTTATTTATTTATTTATTTTTAAGACAGAGTCTCGCTCTGTCGCCCAGGCTGGAGTGCAGTGGCATGATCTTGGCTCACTGCAACCTCCACCTCCTGGGTTCAAGTGATTCTCCTGCCTCAACCTCCCAAGTAGCTGGGATTATAGGCCCGTGCCACCACGCCTGGCTAATTTTTTGTATTTTTAGTAGAGATGGGGTTTTACCATGTTAGCCAGGATGGTCTTGATCTCCTGACCTCATGATCTGCCCTCCTCAGCCTCCCAAAGTGCTGGGATTACAGGCGTGAGCCACCGCACCTGGCCAAAAATGATTTTTATCACTAGCATATATATTCAGAGTCTGGAATAACAGTGATACCAAACAGCAATGCCCACACGGGTGGCTGAGATAGTGACACTTGCTTTCAGATGGTTCAATGTATACAAACTGTGTTTCATGCAAAACATTATTTTAAATATTGTATAAAATAACTTTCAGGCTATGTGTATCAGGTGTATTTGAAACATAAATAAATGTCCTGTTTAGATTTGGGCCCCATCCCCTTATATCTCTCATTATGTACATGCAAATATTTCAAAATCCAAAGAGCATCTGAAATCCAAAACACTTCTGGTCCCAAATATTTTGGATAAGGGAAACTTAACCTGTACTTCTTATCTTAAAAGTTTATTTACTATTCAATTAATTTTTACCTCATTTTCCTATGATTTTATTTTTAAGAATTTATTAATCCCATACAGACTTCATTCCATATATAGTGACAATCTATATTTGCATTTTCCTCCAAATTCATAGCCAGTGATTCCAAATTATTGCTGAGTAATCCTTAATCTCCTCAGTAATATATATTTTCTTCTTTTATATATCAATTCAAAACAACATTTTTCAGACACAGGGTCTCACTGTGTTGTTCAGGCTGGCCTCGAGCTCTTGGGCTCCAGTGATTATCCCAAATAGCTGAGACTACAGGTGTGCACCGCCACCTGTGGTTACAGTCTGTCTCTGTTCATGTCAGTACTGCACTATTTCAGTGACTGCCATTTTGATTTTTGTGTTTTGGTGGGTTTTTTTTGTTTTGTTTTTTGTTTTTTGTTTTTTTTGACAGAGCCTTGCTCTATTGCCCAGGCTGCAGTTCAGTGGTGGATCTCAGCTCATTGCCACCTCCAACTCCTGGTTCAAGGATTCTAGTGCCTCAGCCTCCCAAATGGCTGCGGTACCAGGTGCATGCCACCACACCAAGCCAATTTTTGAATTTTTAGTAGAGACAGGGTTTTGCCATGTTGGCCAGGTTGGTCTTGAACTCCTGGTCTCAAGTGATCCACCCACATCAACCTACCAAAGTATCATTTTGTTTTAATAAGTCAAATGACTAATCCCCCCTTATTATTCTTCATATTTTGAATATTTTCTTTATTATCTCATTGAACTTCAGAATACTTGTATCAACTCCTTCGATATTTGTATCAATTTCCATTGGATTTTTAAAATCACTATTGAATTAGCTCTCTAAATTAAGTTGAGAGAAGTTGTTATTTATTGCTGGCTGGGCACAGTGGCTCGCACCTGAAATCCCAGCACTTTGGAAGGCTGAGGCAGGCTGATTGCTTGAGCTCAGGAGTCTGAGACCACTATGGGTAACATAGCAAAACTCTGCTTCTACAAAAAAAGTATAAAAATTAGCTGAGCATGGTGGTGCATGCCTGTGGGTCCAGCTACTTGGAAGGCTGAAATGGGAGGATTGCTTGAGCCTAGGAGGTCGAGGCTACACTGAGCGGAGATCGCACCACTGCACTCCAGCCTGGGTGACAGAGCGAGACCCTGTCTCAAAAAAGAATAAGTTATTATTTCTATAATTTTAATTATTACACATTGAAATGTGCTTTTTCTGCAGGAGAAATTTCAAACTACAATTTCCAGTATTTGATGATTTGTTGGCTCTTGGATTAAAGAAGGAAGAGTCAAAATGTTTCTAAGGCTTGGGGTCTGAGAGACTTTGGGACTCAGAAAAGCTTCACAGGAGCCAAAAGAGCATTGCTAAGTGTTATCAGAAAGAAGAGGGAAGATTTTTCAGTGTTACTCTTAAGGGCGGAAAAACAGCCAATGTCTCAAAATTCCCAGGAGACAGATTTAGCCATACATAAGAAATTATTTTACATAATAGAGCTCTCCAAAAATGAAAAAAATGCTGCTGTGTGAGGAGGCAAGCCTTTCATCTCTGGAAGCATTCAAACTGAGGATAGATTACAAGTAAGTGTCAATAAGACAGCCCTCTTATTTCTAATAGTCTGTGTTGAGTTTATTCTCCAAGCGGGGGTGACCTTCATATAACTGAAACAAGTGACTAGAACTCATGAAGAAGAGCAGGGTTAAGGACAACACTTTAGGTGCTGCTCAAGAAAAGAAAAATAGGCCAGGTGCCATGGCTCACACCTGTAATCCCAGCACTTTGGGAGGCCGAGGCGGGTGGATCACTTTGAGGTCAGGAGTTCAAGACCAGCCTGGCCAACATGGCAAAAACCCGTCTCTACTAAAAATACAAAAATTAGCTGGGTGTGGTGGTGCTTGCCTGGAATCCCAGCTACTCGGGAGGCTGAGGCAGGAGAATCGCTTGAACCTGGAAAGTGGAGGTTGCAGTGAGCTGAGATGGTGCCACTGCACTCCAGTCTGAGCGACAGAAGGAGACTCCACCTCAAAAAAAAAAAAAGAGAGAGAGAAAGAAGAGCCCAAAGGGGAGAGAGAGAGAGAGAGAGATAGAAAGGATGTGACCAGTAAAATAATATTATAAGCACCAGGAAAAAGTTATAGAATCATGCATGACAGTGGAAGACCAAGGAAAGGTTGGCTAATAGTCAGGTACCACAAATAAGAGAAGTACAGTAAGGCCAAGCAAGTTGTGAGAGGACTTGGAGAGTGAAGTTCCAGTAGATCTGTGCAACAGTGAAATGACACCTAAGTGGCACTACAGAGTCAAGTGACACTTTCTGCATTTCAAAATGAGGAGGCCTTGCACATCTGAAGTCCAAAGAACAGACAGCAGGGATTAAGAGATAGAAAGTACAGGATATTCCTGATATTTATGCTTTAATCTCTATGGTTCTTACCATTTGTCATCAACCTCTATGGGCCAAACCATGTTGTAATTTCTAAATTTTGCCAAGGCACACACTGGAATCACATCCGCTGAGGAACTGCCGCACAAGAGTGAGTCACTTATTTGGAGAGCATGCCTCGCTAGCTGCCCAACATCTGTATCATATCATGCCTTTGTTATTCTCTGCTAATCGTATGTGCTGTAACTATCATGAAGTGAGAGGGACTCCGCTGCTTTGTAGATTCAGATAAGCCCATGGGTAATGTCGCCACTAAGATGATGTATGATGACTACTTTAGTTCTTTAAAAACCATCTAAGGGACTGAAGATATCACTTCGATGCTTCAGGTATTCTTCCCATCATTTTATGGAGGTAATTCCATATGAGGGGTACTCTGAAAAGAGGGATTTTCGAAGCTCTAAGGATACATTTCTTAAAACTATCAAGATCAAGATTCTACTTATTGGAAGAGATGAGGCCATCACTAGAGAAGAAACGCAGGAGTTGGGAAGGGCTGCTTTTAGCTCACAGGTAGAAGAATTTATTTTAGAATCTGGAAAGAAGAAAGAATGTGGCTTAGCCTGATTTTCCCAGAGAGTAGAACATCAGAAAAGCATATATATACATATATGCAAGCACTGTATTGGGAACTGCTATCCCTAGAAGCAAGAGTGAGGGAGAGGGAAGCGGTGAGGGGCAGCGCAAGGTAAGTTACTGCTTGATTCTGTGAACCACCTGAGAAGCCACAAGGCACGCATCTCAGGACTGTCTGCCTGGATTGAGAAAGGAGGAATCCCCCATTGGTCAAAGGATCACTCCATGGAGGCATTAAGTCCCCGGAACTTCAGGTTGCATTCATGAGACTACTAAGGAGTGTTTGCAGTGTCTGTCCCAGGCTGCAGAGATGACAGAGAAGGCTTCGGATGGGAGGTGAGAGGTGCTTGCAAGTTAGTTCTACATGCAGCTGGTCAGGCTCATGGCAGAACTGTCACTACAGTGGCGGCTGGAATCAAAGACAGGTGTGGCTGAAAGGAGCTGAGGCAGTGCTTACGAGGTGTCTGATCCAAGATGTTCATGTTCTAAGGAGTATATAGGTGTGAGCAGGATGGTAAGAAAGCCCTGGTACGATTCCTGGCTCCTCTCAGATGCAAGGCCTTCTCACGAGGCCAGGGATGCTGTGACAGCAGTGAGTATCTGACACAAGTGGAGAAGAGTTATTGCAGCCACTGGGCCAGAACCGCTGGAAGACTTCCGGGATCACATCAGGGGTTCTCAGGAAACCAAGCATTAGGAATTCTTAGTTCTCTGCATTTTCTCCATGAGTGCCTGTACCCTAAAGTGGATGCTGAGGAAGCAGACCATGAGAGGACCCAGAGTGGACTTTGCAGAGGGCAAAGGTCATAGGTAGGGGTCACCTCGGTAGGGGTCAGGGCAGTGTGGATGCAGCAGGGCAGGGAGCTGAGGGTGGATGGAAGAGGTAAAGCCAGAGGCGCTGATATCTAGAGACACTGTGAGGATGGAGCAGGGAGAAGGAACACACATAGAGCCCTGCACAAGCTCTGGGGCCCAGCAAGGCCATGAGGTGAGGACATGAGTGCTGACGGCATGCAGTGAGCTGAGAATACAGATGTTAAAGTTGCCAAAGAAGGAAGGGGAAGGGAAGTTGGGAAGGAAAGAGAGACCCTGAGATGACTCCTGCCCCAGATGGAAGAAACACTTATAGAAGACACTGGTAGTGATTTGGAGGCAGTTAAGTAGGGGGTGGTAGAGAATCCAGATGAGAATCCATGAAGAGAGGGTGTCAGAAACAGTGGAATTTGAGGCCTTGTGGTAAAAGATTTTTTTTTTCTTTTTCAGAGACAGGGTCGTGCTCTGTTGCCCAGGCTGGAGTGCAATGGCGCGATCTTGGCTCACTGCAGCCTCAAACTCCTGGGCTCAAGAGATCCTCCCACCTCAGCCTCCTGAGTAGCTGGGACTATAGGTGGGCACCTCTACACCTGGCTAATTTTTTATTTTTTGCAGAAACAGGGTCTCACTATGTTGCTCAGGCTCGTCTCAAACTCCTATCTTCAAGTGCTCCTCCCATCTCAGCCTCCCAAAGTGCTGGGATTACAGATGTGAGCTACCATGCCAGGCCCAAGGTAAAAGATTTTAAGGAACACGTTAGTGAACAATCAAGCAAGATTTGCTTCACTGCAGACTTACACCAGACATTATTTCCAGAAGATCAGTTGTAGAGGGGGGTGTGGATTTTCACTTTTGCTTAATACATTGGATATTATCTGAATGTGCTATCAGAAAAACTGCATTGCTTTTATGATAAAAAATAAAACGGAGAAAGAAAACAAAATTGGTCAAGGACAAAGCTAGAATTCCATCTCATTGTGAACAAACACTTGTCCACCACCCGTTGGCTCCACAGCTGAACAAAACAGGCAGTCTGAGGTGTGGTTTTATTAACCTTCCCAATACTCATTGCTGCTAAATCAACTTAAACTATGTGACCGGTTAACACAAAGAGCCAGTGGAAGTAAATGCTTTAAAAAGACAGGGAGATATAAAACCTGGGGTAAATGTTTAACATGCCATACACAGGGCCCCAGCCACATTCCATCAGCAGCTGCATGTTTGGCCTTCAAGTTTCCAGGGAAGTACCTGGCTCTTCACACTCTTTGCCTTCAGCCAGGAACCCCACTAAGCAAGAGGTCCTGGAAGGCATCCGAGTCATAAATAGAGAAAGTCACAAAGAGTAATCAATATAGTAGCTACCATTACTGGCTGCCTTATTTGTGCTCAGTTTACACTAAATACCTTATGCTGTTTATCTTAGTCATTAAAATAAAGAAGTAGAAGAGACAGTACCAGCAAACTTCCACTTACCTTGTATAGTAGGCCATTCTCGCCTTGCTATAAAGAAATACCTGAGACCGGGTAATTTATAAAGAAAAGAGGTTTAATTGTCTCATGGTTGTGTGGGCTGTACAGGAAGCATAGCAGCATCTGCTTGGCTTCTGAAGAGGCCTCAGGAAACTTACAATCGTGGAGAAGGTGAATGGGGAGCAGGTGTGTCCCATGGGGAAAGCAGGAGTAGGTGTGGGGAAGTGCCACACACTTTTAAACAACCAGATCTCATGAGAACTCACTATCGTGAGGACAGCATCAAGCATTCATGAGAAATCCACCCGCATGATCCAATCATCTCCCACCAGGCCCCACCTCCAACATTGGGGATTACAATTCCACATGATATTTGGGCGGGGACATATATCCAAACTCTGTCACCTTGTATTGGACAGAATTAAGGCACTAGTATATAATTCAGGGTTCTTGGTTACAGGCAACAGAGTCTACTCTAGCTGGTTTAAACCAGGAATTTCTTCAGATATACAGATACTGCCTTGAGTCATTGGAAGGACTGAAGAAATGGATTCTAGACTGAACTCTGAAAGTCACCATAGAATTGAACCATCATGGGGAGCTACTACCTCATCCACAACCAGGAAGTTGCTGAATTAAGAGGCCACATTCTCCAACAGGAAGTTAGTGCCACAGTCCTCAGCTCTTGAGCCATGCCATATTGGCCACAACCAGTCAACAACTCAGTCAGAAGGCCACCCCCACAACAGACCATGCCATATCTGCTGAGACCCTGGCCAGCAAGAGATTCCCAGTACTCTCCTCTCTCTTCTCACTTAATTCATTCCCAAAGTCTCAGGATCCTCTCTCCACGTGACTTCATTCTGAATCAAGTATAAATAATAAAACTTAAATCCCATCTGAAACCTCAGCTTCAAGAGACTCTGTTGTGTTGAATAATAGAGATTTCCAGTCTCTACAGTAGAGGCAGGCAAGACAGAAAGATGTTGAAATAGAGGTTGAGTACGCCAAACCATTGGATTAGCCACAGTTGCTCTGGAAAGTTGGGGTATTCGGTGTATTGTTGGCCAGCCTTTCCCTCCCTCATCTTCAGGCATCCAGTGCACATATATTATCTCATTTTTTCCTCAGCTCTACCTTTCAACAAAGTATTATTATACCCACTTTATAGATAAGGAAACTGAGGCTTATAAAGTTTAAATAATGTGCAAGAAGGTAACAGACTCAAGGTTTGAACCAAGATCCACTTTGCTATTCTTACATGGTAGAATTCATATATGTGCTTTGCTGAAACTGATCACCCAACAATAGCAGCCTCTCTCTATTCTCAATTCCCTTTATTCTGGCTGTGATTCACTGGCTTTCCAAATGGCTGAATAGGCCTGGGACTCTTCCACCTCCAAACCTTTGCTCCAGCAATTTTCTTAATTACTTGAGTTCCTTTATCCTGTGGGCCACCGAGAAGCCATTTGTGCCAGGCTCTCTGGGTGCAGAAAGGAGGAAGGATATATCCATCAGCTTGGATCCGCAGTTCATCAAATAATCACTCCATGAGAGATCGTTGTCCTTTCCCCCACATCTGACCATGCAGATCTCAGCCATCCCTTAAGGCCTAGATCCAAAACTACCTCTCCCCAAGGACTTCACCAGTCTCCCTGGCAAAGGCCGACCTTCACTGGGATTCCCCTGCATTGTGTCTGTATCTCCCTTCAAACATTTCCCAGATGCAACTTACATAATTGCCCCTCCTATAGTATAACTTCCTTAAAGACAAGAACCATGACATTGATCTCTGTGCCCCTTAAATCTCCTGGCACAGTGCATGTGTGTGGTAAGGATTCAGTAGATGAATAATAAATAAATGAATGAATAAATTTCCCTACTGAGGTGCTCTCTTCTTTAACATATTGGAGAATCTGTATCTGGGTAATTACAAATCAATTGCTCCAGACTCCTAGTGCTTTTAATTAGCAAGATTTTTCTTTATCTCAGCAGTCCCCTTCTTGGCACTAGAGACCAGTTTCATGGAAGATAATTTTTCCACAGACAGGCAGGGGTAGGAGGTGGTTTGGGGATGATTCAAGCGATTACATTTATTGTGCACTTTGTATTATTATTGCATTATAATATATAATGAAATACTTATACCACTCACCATAATGTAGAATCAGTGAGAGCCCTGAGCTTGTTTTCTTGCAACTAGACTGTCCCATCTAGGGGTGATGGGAGACAGTGACAGATCATCAGGCATTAGATTCTCATATGGAGCATGCAACCTAGATCCCTCGCATACACAGTTCACAATAGTTCACAATAGAATAGCATTCTCAATTCAATCCTATGAGAATCTAATGCCACTGCTGATCTGACAGAAGGCAGAGCTCAGGTGGTAATGTGATTGATAGGGAGCGGCTGTAAATACAGATGAAGCTTCTTCTCTTGCTCACCCACTGCTCAACTCCTACTGTAGCATGGACTGGTACCAGTCCGTGGCCTGGAGATCGGGGACCCCTGCCTTATCTTTTTTTCCCATATTTAGTGAGACTTCATCAGTTGTTAAGGCCCAGGTATTTATCTTCCCTTAAAATACATATATTGAAACCTAATCCTTAATGTGATAGCATAGGAGGTGGAGATGTTGGAATGTGATTAGGTCATGAGGGTGGAGCCCTTATGAATGGGATTAGTGCCCTTGTAAGAAGCTGAAGAAACCACAGTTTCCCTTCCACCATGTGAGGACTCAGCTAGAAGGTGCCATCTATGAACCAGGAAGCAGACCCTCACCAGAAAACAAATCTGCCTTGATCTTGGCCTTCCCAGCCTACAGAAATAAATATGTTGTTTGTAAGTTACCCAACTAATGGTATTTTGTTATAGAAGCCCACATGGACTATCAGTTAATGTACATAGAATAATTGTTACCTATTTATTGGTTTTGTGGCTTCTAATATTTTTTTAAATGAATTTTAAAAAAGACAGAGAATAATGTCTATCTTTGGAGTTCAAATGAGTTTTTTTTCTTTGGAACAACTACGATAGGACACTTTATACAGTAGTGCAGGCATTTACCATAAGTAACAATTCATCAGACCAAAAAAGGTGGAATAAATCATGAAAGTAAAAGTATCAAGGAGTCTCCGTACTCTACATTTAATCCATTCAATTTCCTGCTAAAGTAGAATTTCTTCCATTTGTGTCAATCCTTTGGGATCAGCCTACAGCAACAGTCTCCTCAGTTTCTTCTAGAAACTTCCCAGTTTAGAACCCCAAAAGAGTGGTCAGCAGTCACCAAGGCAGGTTCTCTCCTGCGTGTAGTTAATGAGACTGGTAGGCCAGCAGCTTCCTCCTGGTTGCCATGGAAATGACCAGGCTGCTGGCCCTCCGAAGACGGAAAAGAACAGCAAGTGCAAGACCACGCATTCCACCCTGGCTTGCAGATTAAACCAGCTGTCAAGCCAGGGTGAAGGATCCGTGGCCAGGCAGAGGTCTGTGGAGTGGAGAGGCGAGGCCTCACGGTGGAACTCTCAGATGTAAGTAATTTCTGTGTTCTTCTTTTTTAAAAAGCATGTCTAGTCTGACAGTTTTTCAGAGCTTCAGAATTTCTGCTGCATGGCAGGAACTGTGACGGTTGGAAGAACCATTGTCAGGGTCACCTTCTTGTTGCATTTGCATTTCCTGAACATAATGTACATGTATGAGTGGCTTTCACTATGAAACACTTTTTTAGGCTTCCAGGCATATGAATTCCTCTTTACTGAGATTCTGCCTTTAAAATGAAAGATTTTCAGTGCATTAAGCAAAGAATGACATGGTCTTCTCATTTAAACCCTAAAAAGATAAACTCACTTAAAGCTAATATAACAGATAGCTCCTTGAAATCTTGTCTCTATTTTAAAACATCTGGCTAGACTTTTCCATTAGTCTTCAATGCTAAATAACAATTAAGGAAAAGAGATATGATATCTCTTTTCCTTATTGTGATCACAAACAAAGAAAAGTGAGAACTCCCAAAACACCGGCTGATACTGTTTCTTTGCTCTGTTTTATCTTTTAATAATATTATATTTACTGCCTATTTACACACCAGGCTTTATAGAGTTTGCTGATTAGAAAACAAAGAAAAGAAAGTAAGCTAAGATGAGCATTAACATTTGGATTGGATCGTTCGCGTTTTTAAAAAATTGGTCTTTTATTCAAAAGTGAAAAAGCATGATAAATAATGTAGCAAAAGGCAAGATGAAGAGGGGAATGTTTTAATTCAAAATGAGTAGAACATATACAGTCTTGCATTTATTTCTTTGTTTAATAAGCATATTTTTGGAAAGCTTTTAGCAAAAAGTATGTTGGTGTATACTGAGGACAGGAAATGTTTCAAAAACATTGTGCATAATATTTATAAAAAACCCACCCTTAAAAAATACCAAAAAAAAGACTTCATTTGTTTGAAAATTTTTTACCGAAAAGAGCCATCCTTGAGAAGTTTTTTGCTTTTTTTTAGTCTAAATAATGCAATATGTTTGGAAGGAAAAAAAAAGACTTTTCATTACTTTTTTTTCTGACAGAAATTGGGCATTTTCTGAAAATAACAGTTTCAATAAAGTATTTATGGAAATGAGTGCTTTTCAAGAGCTGACTTGGATTTCTCATCTTTCTTTTCCACACTAATATTTTTCACTGCTTAAAGCTGCCACATTATCAGCTTTTAAAATTCAGTGCCCAGTGGCTTGTGTCTGTGTCTGTGGGAGCTAATAGGTCAATAGGCCCCAGTGGGAAGAACAGGCAGGCCTCACAGTTCTGTGGGCGTGGGACCAAGGGGCAGCTGTGCAAAGCTGTGGATGTGAACCCCAGTGATGCAATTAACTGAGTGTCTACCAAGTCACTCAAGGGGAAAGCCTGAAGGATTTGCACTCATTGCCTAATTCACTCTCTCAAGGACTGTGTCAAGTAGAAAAGTACGGTAGCCACATATTTTAGTTAGGACTTCCCAGTGGCTCACTCTCTGAGAATTCTTTGTCCCACATTCCATACCTATGTTAGCAGAAGCAGCACTCTGCTCATATTGTCCTCTATTCTGATTATGAACTTAAGAACAGAAATTTCTTTCTTATGGTTCTGGAGACTGGGAATTCCAAGGTCAAGGGGCCTGCATCTGGCAAGGGCATTCTTGCTGTTTCATTCCATGGTGGAAGGTGAAAGGGCAAGAGAACATGTGCACACACATAAGAGAGACAGAGAGAAAGGGGGTCAAATTCATCCTTTTATTTGAAACCTATTCCCATGGTGACCAACCCACTCCTCAATAACAGCATTAATCCATTCATGAGGGCACCGCCCTCTTAAAGGTCACCCCTTAAAGCTCCCACTTCTCAACACTGTTGCACTGGGGATTAAGTTTCCAACACGTGAACTTTAGGAAACACATTCAAATCATAGCATTTAGCATGAGGGTTCTATACACATATAGGTTAAAGGCTACAGCATCTAGTAATAGAATACAATGCATGGAATCTCACTTGAATAGGCCCAAGACCCTGGGGTAGGAAATAGCGCTGTAATTTCCACCATGACTCTTCAGAGTATAGTTGGCTGTCTGGGTTCAAATTTTAGCCATTATTAACTAGTTCTGTGACCTTGGACAAGTTATTTAACCTCCCTGAGTACCCATGTATCATTTCCTGATATGAAAATGGGACCATATGCAGTGGCTCATGCTTGTAACCCCAGCACTTTGAGAGGCTGTGGTGGGTGGATCACTTGAGGTCAGGAGTTCGAGACCAGCCTGGCCAAAATGGCGAAACCCAGTCTGTACTAAAAATACAAAAATTAGCTGGGCGTGGTGGTGCAACACCTATAATGCCAACTACTCGGGAGGTTGAGGCAGGAGAATTACTTGAATCCGGGATGCAGAGGTTGCAGTGAGCCGAGATAGTGCCACTGCACTCCAGCCTGGGTGACAGACTGAGACTCGGTCTAAAAAAAAAAGGGGAGGGGGGGCCATAATATCTACCTGTAGGATTACAGAAAGGATTAAATAACATAAAACACGTGAAACACTTAACAGTACCTGGCACAAAAGAAACACTCATTAGATCTTACTATTAGTGAATAAAAATATGGATAGTTCCTGATTTCATTCAATTTTCAGTATACAACATACATGTATCACATTTTATATATTATAGTATGTTGCCTCTTTATCAATGACAATTTGCTGTATTTAGCTAGCTTAGCCTTGGGAACACAGGGCTGAGGAACAGTGAATTACTGGTACAGTAACATTTCTCATAGGAGTCTGAACTTTCTTGGGAATCAGGAGCTGTGTATTTGGCATGTTAAGTTGGAGATGTCTACTAGACATTCAGAAAGAGCTATCAGATACAATGTGGGACATGTGAGCATGATGCAGTCAGGAGCTAGAGACGTATCTCAGTTCACCATCAGCATCTAGGTGGTATTTAACTTCACAGGACAGCATGCAGGCACCAAGAGAGTGGACGCACATACAGAAGACAGCCATGCACTGAGCTGGGGACATGCAACAATAACAGGTAAGAAGATCAGGGCCGGGCATGGTGGTTCACGCCTGTAATCCCAGCAGTTTGGGAGGCCGAGGCGGGCGGATCACGAGGTCAGGAGAGTCAGACCATCCTAGCTAACACAGTGAAACCCCGTCTGCACTAAAAAAAAAAAAAAAAAAAAATTACCGGGCATGGTGGTGGGCGCCTGTAGTCCCAGCTACTCTGGAGGCTGAGGCAGGAGAATGGCGTGAACCCGGGAGGCGGAGGTTGCAATGAGCCGAGATCACACCACTGCACTCCAGCCTGGGCGACAGAGCGAGACTCCGTCTCAAAAAAAAAAAAAAAAAAAAAAAAAAGATCAAATGCCAGCCAAAAGACTGAGAAGGAGTGGCCATTGAAGGAGCCAGAAAACCAGGAGAATGTGACATCATGGAGGAACAGAAAACTATTCACTCAAAAAGAAGGGGGAGGCAACTAAGTCAGATGCTTGTGGGAAGTCAAACAAAATGAGACCAGGAAATTAATCACTGGATTTGGTATGGGGGTGGTGGGATTCACTGGGAACCTGATGAGAATGGTTGCAATAGAATGATTACAGCAAAAGTCTGGTTTTTTGGAGTGGCTTAAAAATCTAACACGACTAGGTACTAGGCTCTGTGTGATAACAGATTGGCTTACAAAAGCTCTTTTTTTTTTTTAATTTATCTTACAATAGACTGATGTTGCACTCTAAGAAAAGTAGGTTTGAGTCAAACAAGAACTGTCACCTATTCCCCCAGCATAATAAAATGTCATGAAAGAGGAGAGATTTGAAGACAGTATCAGAGATGAAGGTAGTTTCTTAGTGGACAAGAAACAGAAATCATCCCCAAACACAGAGGGCAACATAAGCAGCATGAGGCGAATGGGGTCCAGATTGGAGAATAAGAAAACACAATGGGGGCAGGCGCGGTGGCTCATGCCTGTAATCCCCACACTTTGGGCGGTGGGAAGATCTCTTGAGGCCAGAAGTTGTAGATCAGCCTGAGCACTACAGTGAGTCTGTGTCTCTACAAAAAATTTTAAACATTAGCCAGTGGTACGCACCTATAGTCCTAGCTACTCAGGAGGCTGAGGTTGGGAGGCTTGCCTGAGCCCAGAAGTTCAAGGTGACAGTGAGCCACTGCACTCCAGCCTGGGTGACAGAGCAAGACCTTGTCTCAAAAAAGGAAAGAAAGAAAGAGAGAGAGAAAGGAAGAGAGGAAAAAGAAAGAAAGAGGAAAGAAAGAAAGAAAGAAAGAAAGAAAGAAAGAAAGAAAGAAAGAAAGGAAGGAGGGAGGGAAGAAAGAAAAGAAGAAAGAACAACAAAAGCCCAGTGAGACATCACACACACACACACACACACACACACACACACACACACACACGCACCCCTCGAGGCTTGTCCCCACAACATGCCGTGATGCCTCTCCTTTCCCAGTTTTGATCCACTTCCCATAAAAGGATTACTTCGCATTTCCATCTCTGAAATGCCTGGTCTCTGGGTCATTAAAAAAAACAAAAAAAGAATCTTCTCTGTGGCCAGGAGGTCTGAAGAATTCATTTGGAGTTGTGCCTAGACACTATTTCATGGGCACTCGGTTTAGCCCAAATTGTGATGCCAGATTATCTACTGGAGCTCTGCTGCTGTCACAAAACTAATCGTCAAAGAGTCATCAATGAGATCAGGATTCACTCTTTTTAAATAAAATTCTTATTTTGCAATAGTTTCAGGTTTACAGAAAAATCGTGAAGATAATAGAGAGTTCTTATATAGAGTTAACATCTTACATGAGTATGGTATATTTGTCACAATTAATGAACCAGTATTGACACATTATTATTATAAAATAAAGTCCAAACATTATTCAGATGTCCTTAGATTTCACCCATTGTCCTTTTTTTTGTCCCAGGATCTCATCCAGGATCCCACATTACCTTTAGTCATCATTCCCAGGAAGCATTTTAAAACTCTGAAAAATCTTTCAAGAAAGAAACAAGGTTTAAATGTTCATTGGTTCCAATATTTGTAACTAAAACCAGCAAAGGAAATTTTAATTCTTATTTTTGTCCAAAATCGAATGGTCGGAACTATAGCTTGAACACAGTTGAAAGGAAAAAAGCCCAAGGCTTACATCTTAAGGAAATAGTGCAGGTACTTTACGGGAATATAAGAAGGGCACGACTGTTAAGTGGAAGATCTGAATTCTCTTTTATTGTTCTGGAAGCAGGTAATTAAAATAGTAAAGGTCTGCCAGCCTTTTTTTTTTTTTCTCTCATCTCCTAGCAAAGGGATTAGTGTCTGACTCATTTTCCTTGGCAACTTCACACTCACATAATACTAGCCCAGTAATTTAAGCAAAGCTCTCCCTGAGTTAGCTTTGCAAGATTGGACTCTGAAAGGTTAGGTTGTGGGGGAGTTTTGCAGCAAGGGCTGTTGTAATCTCTCAACCAAGAGCAATTAGGGGAATGGCTTCGTGATGCTCACAAATATCTGTGAGACCAAAATATACTAATTCTACTCATGTTTTCCTTCGCCCCTCGGAAGGTGTGTGGCATAAGATGGAAGGGCAGTGACTGGAGGCCTGACTTGGGACTCACGGTCTCCATTCTAGCCAAGTGTATTTCACGCTTCCTCCTCATCAGATTCACAGGAAAGTTGTAAGGCAATCAGGAACCTAGACTAGGCCTTTTGTAAAGTCACAGGAGGTTGGAGGTGCCTCCTGGGATTTTGCCAGATGTCATTCAATGGCTTTCAAGGATGATGCACAGCTAGGCCATAGGAGAGTAAGCTCAAATTCCCACCCTGTCACCCATACACAGAAACTCATTCTGGTTTTTCTGCCATGTCTAGGCCATACAATGAAAGTCGCTGAAGAAGAATATGAATTTTGCCTGCGGATTTGCTAACACTCGACAATCCTAGGAGGTAAAAGGCAAAAGAGGGGCTGGGTGTGGTGGCTCACGCCTGTAATCCCAGCACTTTGGGAGGCTGAGGCAGGTGGATCACCTGAGGTTGGGAGTTCGAGACCAGCCTGACCAACACGGAGGAACCCCGTCTCTACTAAAAATTAGCCGGGTGTGGTGGCACATGCCTGTAATCCCAGCTACTCGGGAGGCTGAGGCAGGAGAATCACTTGAACCCGGGAGGCGGAGGTTGTGGTGAGCCAAGATCAAGCCATTGCACTCCAGCCTGGGCAATAAGAGCAAAACTCTGTCTCAAAAAAAAAAAAAAAGGCATAAGAGGGAATCAAGGATCAATAACATGCCTCATTGGCTTAGCAAATGTAGGGACTCATTTGGATAATATAAATAGTCATGGAGTGCTCCTATGTGCCAGGCCCTGTGCTAAGGACTGGGGAAACCGCAATCAGCAAGAAGGCATCAGAAACCTGACCCCCTGATATGGTTTGGCTGTGTCCCCACTCAAATCTCACCTTGAATTGTAACTCTCATCATTCCCTCATGTTGTGGGAGGGACCCAGTGGGAGATTATTGAATCACGGGGGTGGTTTTCCCAATAACGTTCTTGTGGTAGTGAATAAGTCTTGCGAGATCTGATGGCTTTGTAAGGGGAAACCCCTTTCACTTGGCTCTCACTCTTCTCTTGTCTGCCACCATGTGAGACACGACTCACTTTCCACCATGATTGTGAGGCCTCCCAGCCATGTGGGACTGAGTTCATTAAACCTCTTTCTTTTGTAAATTACCCAGGCTTGGGTATGTCTTTATCAGCAGCATGAAAATGGACTAATAAAACCCCACAGTAAACCAACAAGGAAGCCCCGCATCCAGGCAGCAAATTAGTGGGTGAAATTAATACCCAGGTGAGCTCAGTGCTTTCCAAATAAAATATCTACTTTTCAGTCAGTTCTTACTCAGCTTCTAAGCTCCTAAGCACTTTAGTCTATTTCTATGATTCAATCAATTTAATCTCAAACAGGTAATCCAGCTGATACCTGAAGAGCTCCTGGCTTCACCAGCCAGAGGGCACAGATGAAGTTAAGTGAACACGAATAGCTTGTATTCTGTTGGCTCGTGCTCCCACCTACCAGATACAGGTCCTTGCCTCCTCCCACCACTACGTCTACAAAACAGAATTTCCTCTAGGTGCTTCTTTGAGTCCCCAGGGGTCTTGCCTATGCGCACAATGGTCCTTTCATCTGCTTCTGTCCCCAGCCCCCACTGGATGCTGACTGTCCCTTACCTTGGCCATGGGGCTCCCTGTTGCTTGATGACCAGAGAGCAAAATCCAGGGGTAGCCCCAGTCTGTTCTTGAGAAAGGGTCAAATAGTGCCATCTGTCCCTCATTCCTCACTGTGCTAGAGCTGAGCTGTACTCAGTACAGAAGTGGAGAAAATGCTTCTGTCCACCACTCAATGTCACCCTTTCTTGCCTGGGCAGGGGGCCACTTGTGCCTCACATCTCAGAATTCTTAAAAGCACTTCTTGCAGCCTCTGCTTGCTACCTGACCGGACTCAGCCTCAGGCATACGTTTGGGCTGGAAAGACACAAATGCCACTGTCCCATCCCTCTGCTCTTCCCTGCCCTGGGCCCTCCCATATCGTCTTCGCTCTCCTTCAACAATTCCATGTATGCAATTAACCACCTGAAGATGGTTCCCCCTCAACTCATAAGACGTAGCCAGATGTATCCATTTGGGCTTGGCTGGGTCCAACATAGTGTGACTATTCTATGGGAGCATTGAGCTCGGTATTTCAGGAGACTAGTTACCAATGATCCAGGCTAATGAGAGGAATAAACCACATAATGTAATTAGCAAACACTGCAGGGCTGTGAATACAGAAGGGCTGGTTTGGTCCACAAGGGTGGTTTGATGTGGTGGTTTGGTTTCCTCACCGTCTCTGTATTCATTTCCTATTGCTGCTATAAAAAATTTCTACAACTTGGCCAGGCGCAGTGGCTTACACCTGTAATCCCAGCACTTTCGGAGGCTGAGGCAGGCAGATCACTTGAGGTCAGGAGTTTGAGACCAGCCTGGCCAACATGGTGAAACCCCATCTCTACTAAAAATATAAAATTTAGCCTGGTATGGTGGTGCACACCTGTAATCCCAGCTATTCAGGAGGCTGAGGCAGGAGAATTGCTTGAACACGGGATGCAAAGATTGCAGTGAGCCAAGATCGTGCCACTGCACTCCACACTCCAGCCTGGGTGACAGAGCGAGACTCCATCTCAAAAAAAAAAAATATAATCTACAATGTTAGTGGCTTGAAACAACATATCTATATTATTTTACACTTCTGGAGGTCAGAAGTTCAAAACCAGTCTGACCAGGCTACTGTGAGGGTGTCAGTAGGCCTGGTTCCTTCTGGAGACTCCAAGGGAAAATCTGTTCCTTGCCTCTTTCAGCTCCTAGAGGCTGCTCGCATTTCTCAGCTTGTAGCCACATTGCTCCAATCTCTGCTTCAGTTGTCATATTGCCTTCTTCTTATAAGGACCCTGTTGATTACATTGGGCCCACCCAGATAATCTAGGATCATCTCCTTATCTCAAGTTTCTTAATTTAATAGCATCTGTAGAGGCCTTATGGCCATGTAAGGTAATGTATTCACAGGGCCCAGGTATTAGGACACAGGCACCTTTAGGGACCATTATTTGACCTACTATAACATCCATTAGGCACAGTTGGAGATCAGAAATAAAGTGTTTTGATCACATCCCATATTCCTGCTGTTCCTTTAAACATTTCATTCACATTTAAGTTAGTAGAAATGGGAATCAGATAATTAATTTCTATTTTCCAGACTAGCTCACTAATAATTTCAGGACCTCACAATCCTCAGAATTTACAGGAGGACGTTTGTAAATCTGATTGGATTAATTACAGGAAAAATCATGCAGAGAGACATTTTTGTTTTACGCTGTGCTTGTTCTCTGTCTAGTCAAATGTTTGATACAAGTAATGCATTAAATGAACCAGTTACTTTAGATTTCTTTGGGGTGGCTTTTGGGATGCCCTCACAGAGCATGGTAATACATTTGTTATCACTATGACTCTGATATTACAAAATATCAATGTCTATGAATAGTACTATGTATATTGTAGCATGCCTATGAGTACTTATGAGTATACAATATACATAATACTACAGAACTATTCAGGCTGGGTGTGGTGGCTCATGCCTATAATCCTAGCACCTTGGGAGGCCAAGGCAGGAGAATCACTTGAGCCTGGGAGTTTAAGACCAGCCTGGATGACATAGTGAGACCCCATCTCTAAACAAAATAAATAAATAATATAGTACTATTCATATATATATATATATATATAATCACATGCATCTACTTTGCTTTTGCAACCTGTGTGGTTGGATTATTATCCTGTGCCCTGTCAAGAGAAATAAGACTCAGACAGGTTCTCCGACTGATCCAACTATATACTAGTGAGTTCAACATGAACAGTCACAAAAATATTTTAAAGTGTGTCCTCTCAAAACCCAAATTGCATACTTGAAGCTAATTTTGCCTGCATAATTCCAACTTATGGAGACATGAATTTACTTCATCTTTTTCTAGATGAGCAAAAATATCAGATGAGAGCATATAGTTTAGATCCTACTATAGAAACCAAATGAGATTCCGATCACATCAGAATTACTGGGAACTCATTTCCTGCCCCGCACAATGAACTGTGTAAACCACAATGAAAGGGAAGTGATCTTCACCCACAGAGACTGCACAGAACGGTGACTTCAGCATTAGATCCTTGCAAGGGCCTGTGAAAATTCAGTGGCTCATACCAAGGATGAGGATGTGCTGTTGTGGAATGTGAAGAAGAAATAAAAGACACAGTATCACAGTATCACAGTATCACAGTAAGAAAACATTGGGGAGGGACCCAAATTAGTTTTCAACTTCATAAGCTTTGAAATAGTAAACAACAAAGATATCATTCCGTTTTCAAATATCTTACATAGTGTTTATCTCTAACCTATCTCCTGCAGTGCATTCGTGGAACAAAGCCAAAGAAAAGAAAAATGCTAAAAATCCCTTTTTTCAAGAGCATTTCAAGGTCCTACAGCTAAAGCCCTCACACTGCCTGTGTGGGCATCTCATCCACATAACAGAATAGCCAACACCCCTCCTTGACCTCAACGGGAAGAGGGGTTGCACAGCCCTGGACAAGTGGGCACTGGACCTGAGAACAGGTGACCACTTGTTTCTGGAGCCCAGCGTGGGTCTCCACCCCACACTCCTCCCATACTTTCTGTTTGATCCTTGCTATCTCTCTAATAAGGAACAAGGTAGCCATAAGGCTTACAGTGCAAATACCCTTGGACAAGAATGTGTCAGTTTAAATTCCGATTAAGGCCTAACCAACTGGTATCAGATACCAATCTGTGAGCGGGTTTTCAGCACTGGCTCCTGGAAAGAAAAGAATGGATGATCAGGGAGTTAAGAGGAAGGCACATCAAGGGGAACTGGGGATCGGAGAGCTACTCCACCTACTCCATAGTTTGCCATAACTAGCCCTCACTAGCAGCTAGGCTTGCTGCCAGTCTGATGAAGCCACCCAGAGGCTCCTAACTCTGAGAAAATGAGCTATGTTTTTCTCGTGGCTGTCAGGGCTCACAGTGGATGTCTCAGGGAGTGGCGTTCCCAGGCAAGCTGTGTTGGGATGCTAAGAATGAGACAACGATGAGAGGCTGAGGCAGAAGAATTGCTTGAACCTAGGAGTGGGAGGTTGCAGTGAGCCGAGATCGCGCCACTGCACTCCAGCCTGGGAGACAGAGAGAGACAAATGCTTTGCTGTGCTGCCCACTGGGCTCTCCTGCTCCCTGTACCACTGGTTCCCTCCTGGAGGTTCTAGCAGGTATCCTGACTCATGCTCATAGGAGGAAGACAGCCTCATCCTCATCCCCACCTTCTCAATCCTACATTCTTGGTTCTCTCCATCCCCTTGAGGATTCCAGATATTGAAACAAATTTATCCAAAGAGCCTGGAGTTAGAAGGAGTCAACAAATGGAGAGATGGAAATCACTGAGGAAAATACAAAAGAAAACTATTTAGAATTCACTGTCCTGACTAGTGTTTTCTCCCCAGATTCAGTCTCTCCCTGGCAACCTAGGTTACCTTCCTTAAACAAGATTTAAGTAGATGTCTCCTGCTTCAGACCTTTACCATCTCATTTTTTGTCTCTTGCAGGAGCCTCCAAAGAGGGAGCTTACCTCACAGGAGGTTTGCAAGCCAAGCTAGTGGGGTAGAGCTGAAAATATTCAAACTTTCATTTTTATTTATTTTTCATCTTAAATTTTTAAAAATGCTACAGTTTGTGTATTGTTGATAATACAGATGATATGTAAGCATGGTAATATGTGAATGGCCTTTATAAATTAACAGATACATCTATTGGGGAGGGTTTTAAAATCATTTATTGATGGGGTGATGATCAGAAGAGTTTGGAGACCAAGTAACTGCCAGCATAAAGTCCAAACCCCTTAGCTTGACCAGCAAGGTCCTGTCTAACCCTGTCTTCCTGCCTACATCCCCAGCCTCATGGACCTCCAGATGTCTTATACCTGCTCTAAACATACTAAGGACTTTAGTCATTCTGACATCTGCGCCAATGACTCTTATATCTGCACTGCCTCGCCCTTCCTAACCCGAACCTCTTCTCTGCCTGGCCCAAAGAGCACATCCTTTGAGAGTCTTTCCGTTTCTCCCTTACCACCACTCCATCTGCATCTTTTTTTTTTCTCTTTTGAGATGAGTTTCACTCTTATTGCCCAGGCTGGAGTGCAATGGCGCAATCTCGGCTCACTGCAACCTCCGCCTCCCAGGTTCAAGTGATTCTGCTGCCTCAGCTTCCTGAGTAGCTGGGATTACAGGTGCCCACCACCACGCCCAGCTAATTTTTTTGTATTTTCAGTAGAGACAGGGTTTCACCATGTTGGCTAGGCTGGTCTCAAACTCCTGACCTCAGATGATCTGCCCACCTTGGCTTCCCAAAGTGCTGGAATTACAGGCGTCAGCCACTGTGCCTGGCCTCCATCTGCATCTTTAAGAACTACCAATCACATTGTCTTATAATTAGTTGCCCAGTTGTTTGTTCCCAGAGTACATTCCAAGTTCTCTGGGCACACTTCAAGTCCCTTGAGGGCATGGATGATATCTTCTTCATTTTTGCTTCCCCATGACTTAGGCCATTTGCCTGGCATCCAATAAATGTCCTCTAAATGTTGATTTCTCATTTTCTTTTGAGAAAAGAGGATGTAAAAATCCTAAGTTGCAAAGCAATATTAGCACCTGCTGTATTGTACCCAGCTAGCAGGGTAGGCTAGCTGCTTTGACAAACTTCAAGATATCAGTGGCTTAGAGTAATTGAGATCTGTTCCTCCCTTACATCACAGACTAATGCCATTAAGGGGGAAGAGGGGTGTGCTCTCTTTCATACAATCATTCAGGGATTCAGCCTTTTGTCTACAGTTCTGCCATCTTCTAGGGCCGTCGGTTCCTTCGTGGAATCTTCCACCATATTCCATTGGCCAGAACTCAATCACATGGTACCACTTCACTACCAGAAGCTCAGAAATGAAGTCCAACAGTGTGCTAAAGAAGGAGAGGAGAACATGGCATTCACAGGGACTAGAAGTCTCTGATATACCTAGGTTGTAAGACGCAATAAGTAGCTTGATGCAACCATGACAAATACTCAGGGGATGTCTACACATCCAAATTTTTCAGTCAAGATGCTAAAAACTGTGCATGTTTTTTTTTTTTTTGGTTTTTTTTTTGTTTTTTTGAGACAGAGTCTCACTCTGGAGTGCAATGGCGCGATCTCAGCTCACTGCAACCTCTGCCTCCTGGGTTCAAGCGATTCTCCTGCCTCAGCCTCCTGAGTAGCTGGGATTACAGGCACATGCCACCATGGCCAGCTAATTTTTGTATTTTTAGTAGAGACAGGGTTTCACCGCATTGGTCAGGCTGGTCTCGAACTCCTGACCTCGTGATCTACCTGCCTTGGCCTCCCAGAGTGCTGGGATTACAGGCGTGAGCCACCACACCCGGCCTATGTGCTTACTTATTAAATATTTGAGCCTTTGTGCATGATTATTAAATATTTGAGCCTTTAAATCACTGGACATGTTTAAAAACCAGAGCTACTATTCAGAATCAGTTTGAGTATTATTTTTGTATTGCAGCTGAAGAAATCTCAAGAACAATACTAGCAACTAGCTGCATAAAGACAGAGGGTTCTAAATTGAGGAGATACAGACATCAGTTACTTCAAAACAAATTCCACACAGATTCCTTCTCAATCTAGGATTACACCCAACATTTAGATAATGTTTATACTTGGCTTCAAAAGGAATGTTTCAAACTTGACTAGTTCTGTTTATAAGAAGATATTACTAGTAAGGAGATATTGTGTCAGTGGGAGGACAGCATTTGGAGCATTTGCCCAAAACAGATTTGAAATGTCATAAATAATGATGTTCTGAGCTCTATAGTCCTAACACAAAAGACAAATAACTAATTGTGGAAAAATCAAGTGACATTCTCCAAATCCTTATAGCAATTAAAAATCAAAAGCAATTTAAAAACGTAATTTGGAAGTGAGCTTAATTTGAAATCAAAAGTGGTTTTTATTTTATTATTTGAGATAGAGTCTCACTCACTCTGTCACCCAGGCTGGAGTGCAGTGGTGCGATCTCGGCTCACGGCAACCTCTGCCTCCCGGGTTCAAGGAATTCTCGTGCCTCAGCCTCCTGAGTAGCTGGCATTATAGGTGTGCACCACCACACCTGGCTAATTTTTGTATTTTTAGTAGAGACAGGGTTTCCCCATGTTGGCCAGGCCGGTCTTGAACTCCTGACCTCAAATGATCTGCCCCCCTCAGCCTACCAAACTGCTGGGATTACAGGTGTGAACCACCATGCCTGGCTGTGATTTTTATTTTTAAAGTGGAAATGCAATTAGGGGAAAGACTCAAGAGAAGAAAATTGTGAAAGGCTCAAGAGTCAGAAGCTGAGAAGATGCCCTGGCAAGAAGCAGTCTCAAGTATAGATCTGAGTTATGGCTCTGGGGTTAAAGCCAGAAGAAAGCTAGGGCCCGGGCACCCCAAGGAACACACTGTGAAGCCAGGACTTGGAGAGGTAAGCAGGGCTATTGCTCACAAATGCAGTACCCAAAGTGTGTCCCTGCAAAAATCCTTGAAGATTCTTGGGTGGTAAAATCGAGGGGCCCTCCAGTAAAGGAGCCAATTTGAAAATCTGAATATATCCCACAAAGTCAGACATATATCTGCACTCTTAGAGGGCATTTTATCAAAGTGGTGCTTTAGTGTTTGCTGAGACTGAGAGGAGTAGAGTTGCAATGCTCACCCATGCTCATCCCATGGGTCTTGTGGGCACCCACCTTTCTGACTGCCTACCTGGCCCTTTTCTGATAGCGCCTCCTGATTTCCCTTTGCAGAACCATCCTTCTACCCTCTCAGTCCACTCTTTGCAGTGGGGCTGATCCCATTCATTGGCTCCCAAGCTGAGTGTACGACTCAGGAGTCCAATGTATTTTTGCCTCCTAATATTTATTTATTTACTTATTTGGTTATTTATTTCATTATTATTATTATTTTATTTTTTGGTTGCAAAGTCTCACTCTGTCACTCAGGCTGGAGTGCAGTGGCACAATTTCAGCTCACTGAAACCTCTGCCTCCCAGGTTCAAGTGATTCTCCTGCCTCAGCCTCCCTGTAGCTGGGATTAAAGGCACATGCCACCCTGCCTGGCTAATTTTTGTATTTTTGGTAGAGACAGGGTTTCGCCTTGTTGGCCAGAATGATCTCGAACTCCTGAGCTGAAGCGATCTGCCTGTCTTGGTCTTCCAAATGCTGGGATTACAGGCCTGAGCCATTGTGCCCAGCCATATTTATTTATTCATTAGAGATGGGGTCTCGTTCTGTCATCTAGGCTGGAGTGCAGTGATACAATCATAGCTCACTGCAGCCTCAAATGGCCTAAGAGTTCAAAGCCCAGTGAAATCACAGCTCACGAGGGGTACTTGAGAGAAACTAGGGGAGGAAGTTTTAAGACACAGTCTCCAGCAGAATAGGCTGTCATGAACCCGTGGAGTAAGAATTGGGGTTAGGTCATGAGGAGAACAGGTGCCTTTGCATATCATCCCTCCCTCTGTCAGTCACCCTAGGCAAGAAGCCATCCAGAGAGACTCCGAGGCCAGGGACTGAGTGTGCTCACACACCTTGCCCTGAACCTGCACTTGTGTCCCTATTTCTGCCTGTGCAGCCATAGCAGATACCACAACAGGGTGGCTTAAACAACACCGAATTCTCAGACTCAAGTGATCCTTCTGCTTCAGCCTCCCGAGTAGCTGGGACTATAGGTGCACACCATCATGTCCAACTAATTTATTTTATTTGTAGAGATTATGTCTCACAATGTTGGCTGGGCTGGTCTTGAACTCCTGGCTTCCCACAATCCTCCTACCTCAGCCTCCCAAAGTGCTGGGGTTACAGGTATGAGCCACCACACCCAGCAGCCTGGTGCTATTTAAAGAGAGGTTTATTTATTTATTTATTTTTTCTTGAGAGGTTGCTCAGCTGATAGAAAGTAAACCTGGATCTACTAGTGACCATCTTGTCCCCAGAAGGAGTGATCTTATCTGGGAACAAAGCCCACAAATGAGAAAGAATAAATGAAGAACGGACAGACATTTCTGACAACCTTTTTTGAGTAGCTGGATCAAGCCATGCCTGAAATCCTTCCTTAATTTTTCAAATAAGTGAGCAGTTTATTTTGTTTATTTTTTTATTTTTTTTTACCCAAGTGAGTCTTAATTGGATTTCTATAGCTAGCAGTTAAAAGAGTTTGAGTACACTGACATTTGGTAAACTATGTTTTTTCATTCATTCAATGAAATTTGTTGAGTCCTTGCTATGTGCTAGGCACTGTGCGGGAAATTGAGAATATAAAGCCCAAAAACTGCTCTCTTAAGGTCTTTACCCCAGTGAAAGAGAACCTTGAACTAATAATCACGGTACAGCCGAGTGCAGTGGCTCATGCCTGTAATCCCAGCACTTTTGGAGGCCAAGATGGGTGGATCACCCTAAGGTCAGGAGTTCAAGACCAGCCTGGCCAACATGGCAAAACCCCATTTCTACTATAAATACAAAAATTAGTCGGGTATGATGGTGCGTGCTTATAATCTCAGCTACTCAGGAGGCTGAGACAAGACAATCGTTGGAACCTGGGAGGCAGAGCTTGCAGTGAGCTGAGATTGCACCACTGAACTGCAGCCCGGGCGACTTCATCTCAAAAGAGAAAAAAGAAATTCATGATAGACTGAAGGAGGAAAATTTCCAACTAGCATTTCTGTGGCAGCCTCCATAAATGGGTTACCAGGGGTATTTGCCCCACTTGGTGCCCTCTTAGTGAGCCTTCCCCCACTAGGCATGTGTTTTTGTTCTGGCCTTTGGGCTTCCTAATGTCCAGGAGGCAGGGACCATCCTGAGGTCTAGCCAGGGCCTTACTGTCGGGAAGTTGCTCACAAATTCTTCTGGGAACTTCTTGTCCCACATGTTCCGCAAACCAATATCCTTTTCTCTTCTGATCTCTTTTCCTCTTCCACGGCTGCCTCTAAAAGGATCAGCACCTGAAACAGGGAGGCAGACACTTTTCTCACTAGGTTCGGGCTGATGAATAGACCTCTCCCCTCTTTTTTCTTTTAAGGCTAGGGTCAGGGTGGGCCAACAGTATTGACAGCATTCCTGGTTCTGGGATAACAGGGTTACTGGGACACGAAGTCCCAGAGGCCTCCAGTGGAATCTGGGACAGCTGATTGTCTAAAATTATCTTGTAATTAATAAATTATACACCGTTCCTCACTAAGGGGGTAGACACACCCACATTCTAACACTGCTTAAGACTGTTAAGCCTCTTGTTCAGGGAGAACGCTTGTTCTCCACGTTTCTCAAAGCTCTTTCTTTCATGACAAAATGTACCTATTAATACATTTAATAAGAAGCCTTTAAGAAAATCCTGTGCCAACTTCAAAATAGATACAAAGCACTCTAAACCGCCTTATCCAGTCCCCCGCGTCGAATCTCTCTCTCTCTCTGCTATGTTCTCATAGCCGCCTGTATGTTCAGTACAGTGCTTCTCAGTTCAGCCTTATTGGTCTTTTTCCTTTGAGGATAAATCCTGGAGGATAGGATCCAGGTCTTTTGTATCTTTGTTTCTTCTGCTTGGCCTAAGCCAGGGCCTGGCACACAGCCCAGGCTGGGCCCTGCCTAACTCCTGCATTTGCCCCCTCCTCTCGCCTCCTCCCCACTGCTATAGCCTCTCCATCCTCACATGCAGGACGGGCCTGGCTTTGGGCTATGACGCCCCAGCCCATTGGAAGCAGAATCAATTTCGTTAGGACATAAGTTCTATGAGGACTGGGCCCTGGGTTGTCTTGTTCTGAGTTGTACCCCCATGGCTAGCAGAGGGCATGCCACCTAGTAATCTTCCAATAAGCATTAGTTGAAGGAAGGAAGGAAGGAAGGAAGGAAGGAGGGAAGGAAGGAGGGAAGGAGGGAAGGAAAGAGGGAAGGAGGGAAGGAGGGAAGGAAGGAAAGAAGGAAGGAAGAAATGAAGAAATGAAGGAAGGAAGGAAGGGAGGGATGAATGCATGAATACAGTCACAGTTGCTGTGAATCAATGTCTCACCCTCTGTTCAAGTTTACGCGGCAGAGCTTACTTCTATCCTCCTGGCATCCCAGCCATGGGGTTGTGGCTTGTGCCTCCTGCCTGTCTACCCGATCCCTGGCATTTTTAGCCTTGATTCCTTTGGATTTCTAATTGCCTTGTGGCCTCATCTTACACCCTAATTGCTGCTTGTCTGCCTAGCCTCTTTCCTGCTGTCACTGTACTCTTTGGACACATGTTGAGCTCTTCAGACTGACCCTTCCATCTGTGGCTCCCTGGCCCTTAGTGTAGTGGCCCTGCCAGTAGCTCTGGGCCCTCCCACTCAGAGGTCGCATGCCAAGTATCCCACCACACCCATGGAGCTTAGCAAATGGAGAAGACTGAATTGTATTGTTTGGTTTCTCTCCTCAGTCATTGGGGGAATGTTATTACTTTCGCCAAACTGAAATGTGGTACACTCTGCCATAATGCTCATCTCATCTCATTCCAATCACACCACAAAGGAGGATCCTGCATCTGTCATATGCCAGACACTGTAGGGCTTTTACCCAAAACTGGACATTGGTGCTGCTCTTTAAATTACCCATGCATCCCTACCTTATTTAGATTTTTTAGAAGTTCTTATATATGGTTTTGTTTTGGAGCCCTGCAATACATTGACAAGATCAGTTCATAAATTTCTTCTGGCATAAGAGTAGCTAAGTCAAAATAATTGTGATTAATCGGTGGGTGATTAGTCTTTTTGTTGTCTATTACCACAGTTACCTAGGTACATTTGTAAGAGGCCCTGAACAGGATGAATGGACTCACAAACAGATTAATATGGTGGGGATGGGAGGCATGTTTATCTACTTAGAAATTAAAGCTTGCCATTAACTAAATGCTTCATTGGTATTCATGCTATGTTGTGTAATAGGTAGCGCTTGGATAGCTGAATCCAACAAAGAAGTGTTTGTCTCCCGAATTCCAGGAAGTCAGATATTGAGGGGGAGGAAAGCATGTCATGTTCAGGGGTTTTTGGGCGCTTCATGCTAGTAATTGGATGTTTGGAGAATGTGCTCTTTCAACTCCAAATCCCTGCCCATAGATAGGATGCGGTAGGTCTCCTCTCTGGCATCCGCTCTGGCATCGCTCTGGCTGTGTTGTTGGCATGTTGGTCTCACTGTCAGCCAACATCACTGGGAGTTTTACACCTCAGATGAGCAGAGCTCAAAGGTTTGGCTGCTGTCTCTGGATGAGGTGCTGAGAAAAGAGCTTGCCCAGTGCCTGGGCTGCAAGCATTGCCTGTGGCTCAGGAAACAGTTACTAGAACTGCAAGAAAGAAATGTTTACAACTTGTTTTTTTCTGGGGTTCCTTTTCCATAAGCTGTGTATTTCAAATGAAAGGTTGTGATAAAGCTGCCTCTTTTCTTTCAGGTGAGTTCCAACAAATTGGTTCAAAAAGAGGGGGGATAAACACGCTGGCCCATGCTGGGCAAGCATGGCACCACCTTCCAGGCACTGTCTTCTTCTGATCAGCACTCTGGGTGTCTTTGCACTTAACTGCTTCACCAAAGGTCAGAAGAACAGCACGCTCATCTTCACAAGGGAAAACACCATTCGGAACTGCAGCTGTTCTGCGGACATCCGGGATTGTGACTACAGTTTGGCCAACCTGATGTGCAACTGTAAAACCGTCCTGCCCCTTGCAGTAGAGCGAACCAGCTACAATGGCCATCTGACCATCTGGTTCACGGACACATCTGCGCTGGGCCACCTGCTGAACTTCACGCTGGTCCAAGACCTGAAGCTTTCCCTGTGCAGCACCAACACTCTCCCCACTGAATACCTGGCTATTTGTGGTCTGAAGAGGCTGCGCATCAACATGGAGGCCAAGCATCCCTTCCCAGAGCAGAGCTTACTCATCCATAGCGGTGGGGACAGTGACTCCAGAGAGAAGCCCATGTGGTTACACAAAGGCTGGCAGCCATGTATGTATATCTCATTCTTAGATATGGCTCTTTTCAACAGGGACTCAGCCTTAAAATCATATAGTATTGAAAACGTTACCAGCATTGCCAACAACTTTCCTGACTTTTCTTACTTTAGAACCTTCCCAATGCCAAGCAACAAAAGCTATGTTGTCACATTTATTTACTAGCATAATAACTGTGTCCAGCTGCCTGGAACTTTGGCAAATGATGAATAATTTGCAGAAGGAATCTGGAAATAAGGCCGTGAGATAGGTATCCCTACCCACAACTGTGCCTCTCTCCGCAGGCTCCATTTGCAACACAGCCACACATACCAATAACCAGCTCTCTGTTCTGCTCTGTGCCCAACTGCGAGAACACTTTTGAAAAACAAAAGAAAAAGAAACCAAAAAACCAACTTGATTCCGTCCAGGGACATGTCTTGGGAGCCAGCTAGGCTTGGTCTCTGCAACTAGAAGCCTGCAGGGAAATGTCCCGTCAGAAATGGAGAAAGCAATACACCCTAGAGACTGCTTAGTGGAGCTCCTCCTAGAAGGTGACCCCCAAGAAACATATCTTCTTTCAAAATACTGCCTTAATTTTTTTCTGTTTCATTTTGTGAAATTGCTTGGAATTCCCCTAAGTAGAGAATAATCAATTTCAGAGGTTTGGGGACTATGAGTTTTATAAAATGGTCGGGCACAGTGGCTCACACCTGTAATCCCAGCACTTTGGGAGGCCGAGGCGGGCGGATCACCTGAGGTCGGGAGTTCAAGACCAGCCTGACCAACATGGAGAAACCCCATCTCTACTAAAAATACAAAATTAGCCGGGCATGGTGGCACATGCCTGTAATCCCAGCTACTCGGAGGCTGAGCAGGAGAATCGCTTGAACCTGGGAGGCGGAGGTTGCAGTGAGCCAAAATCGTGCCACTGCACTCTACACTCCAGCCTGGGTGACAGAGTCAGAGATCACACCATTGCACTCCAGCCTGGGCAACAAGAGCGAAACTCCATCTCAAAAAAAAAAAAAATAATAATAATAAAATGATTAGGTTCTCTTAAACTGATCTTTTCTAAATACCTTGCTAAGAATAGATGCACCAAGAAATAAGAGGTTGGAGACTGTGTTTGTTGGGGTGGAGGTACCACAGGCATGGATAGGGTAAGACCTTAGGATCAAATGGGGGGACCAGTGTTCCAGAGAGAGGGATGCAGCAGTGAAAATTGGAGGACACAAAACACATTTGCATCTATCTCAAAATTTTGCTTAGAGCACAGCCTAACTGCAAGGAAAGTTCTTCACTTCTAGCCTTTCACATTCTTTTCCTTTTCTTTCTTTGCATGGTCTGTCTTTGCCCCTGCTATACCATTTCACCAATTTCTCTTCTCATTTTCATCTTCTTTCTCCTACTCCTTTTCCTCTTGCTCCAAAAATCAGAACTTAGATGAATACCATTCAAGCTATGTTTAACTACATTAGGGGCTAGCCTGGGAATTTACTCACCACTTACAACATTATTTCTATTGTTAAAAGTGCTCAAATTATTAACAGATAATTAACAAAAAAACATCTAAGGCTCAATCCATTTGGAAGGTTAAGATTGCAAAGTGAAGGCATTTTATATGACACGGTTAACACAAAATGATTTTATGTGTGCTGATAAAAGGAACCAAAGCAACATACTTTTGAAAAAATTAAATGGATTCATTATTGTACAAAGAAAATTTTCCCTCATAGAGACGCAACTTGCCATTAAAGTGGACTGTAAAGAATCCATGGCTTGGGAGGCCGAGGCAGGCGGATCACCTGAGGTCGGGAGTTCGAGACCAGCCTGACCAACATGGAGAAACCCTGTCTCTACTAAAAATACAAAATAAGCCAGGCGTGGTGGTGCATGCCTGTAATCCCAGCTACTCAGGAGGCTGAGGCAGGAGAGTCACTTGAACCTGGGAGGCGGAGGTTGCAGTGAGCCAAGATTGCGCCACTGCACTCCAGCCTGGGCAACAAGAGCAAAACTCCATCTCAAAAAAAAAAAAAGAAAAGAAAAAAGAATCCACTGCAATTGTGATACAAATGTCTAAACCTGGAGTGGAATGAATTTGAAACATTATTGCATTCATGATACCATAATGATAAGAAATAGTCCATGACTTAACAGGATATCCTGGGGTTGATGACTTTAGATCACATACATCACTTTTTTTTTTTTTTCACTTAACCTTAACATAGAGTAACTGAAATAATCTGCAATTTCTACATTTGCTTAATTGGTGGGGGATTTAGCCATTCAGGCTAATTAGCATGAGCCCATGTCAGTGTTTAAATTAGGCCAAAACAAAGACCAAAGTATGAATTTTAATAGAAAAATGTGACCTCATTACTGACATTGTACTGCAGATAATGTTAAAGTGAAAGAAAAAATAAGGAAAAGGGGAAAAAGGAGGAAAAAGGAAAGCAAGAAAAGACAAGTGAAAAGATTAGTAATATATTCATTGTCATTAGTTACTGAAAATATAACAAATTGAATTTTAATAATTTTTATTAATAAAGTATAAAATTAAATGATGATAGAAAGTATATGCCTCCTATAAATATCTTCCATTTGGTAGCTTTTAATAGTTTCAAAGCCCTTTCACATATGTTTTAAGTAAGTCTTTTGAGAAATACTTGTGAGTTAATGGGACTTAAACCAACAGAAAAGGAAAGCTAATTTAGTTATAAATCAAGCCTGAGGTTTCAGATTTCTGGACTAAAAATATGGTTCAGTTTGTGCTGCTGTGGGATGAAGAATGGGCAGAGAAAATCCACAGTGCAGGCATGGGGATTAATGGCATTTGGCACTTAGCTGCAGGGTTTGGGGGACAACAGGGAGTGGTGGGATGGTGGTTAAGTAAGGGTGCATGCCCCACCTGAAGCTCTACAGTGGCTCAGCTCCAACTGAGTGTTGCCATGGGAAAATCTGATGGGGCCAGATCTGATCCTTCAGAGAATGAGGAATTCCAGGTTGTTATGTGAATTCTCACAATTTGTAAATGTCGGCTTGCCATTCAGCTTTTTTGTTTGTTTGTTTTAAATAATATCATGTGGGTCAAACAAACTATGTTAATGGTAGCCATCTGGCCTGGGGCTAGTAGCTTATTGCCTCTGGCCAGTGGTGTGCTAACAAAAGTTTAACCAGCAGCTCTCCAACAAAAAAGGGAGGTGGGCTGCTCTGCCTATGCAGTAGCCATGCTTTTATTCCTTTACTTTGTTAATAAACTTGCTTTCACTTTACTCTACGGACTCGCCTTGAATTCTTTCTTATGTGAGATCCAAGAACCCTCTTTGGGGTCTGGTTTAGGACCCCTTTCTGGTAACATCTTTATGGCAACCACAAAGGGATGATACTAAGGAGACCCCTGACCCAAAGGAAATAGACCAACACTGATTGGCTGACTTTGGAGTCAAGGAAACCTTTCTTTTGAGCTATTGACAGCTTTCAACAATTGCATAAATTACGCTCCTGTGAACAAAATTTGAAGCATGCTTGTTTCTCTCTATCTAATTTCTCCAAAATCTGGAAACTAGTTATATCACTTTTAGTCAGAGTTATGAATGGCCCTCACCATACGGACTTTCTCTGACTGAACTCCTCTCTACCCTGGATCTGAGACCCTAATAGATAGGCAGGAATATCATCACCTCATTCAGCCTCCAGAAGTTACAAAAGATGGACCTTCATCTCTCTATGACCCTTAGGATTAAGGGTTCTCTTATAAAAGGGAGCGGGGAAATGTCAGAGGCGTTTAAACCAGAGCGACTCCATCTTGTTTAGAGGCTGGGTAAAATAAGGCTGAGGCCTGCTGGCCTGCATTCCCAGCAGGTTAGGCATTCTTAGTTACAGGATAAGATAGGAGGTCAGCACAAAATGCAGGACATAAAGACCTTGCTGATAAAACAGGTTGCAGTAAAGAAGCCATAACCCACCCAAAGCAAGATAGAGATGAAAGTGAACTCTGGTCGTCCTCACTGCTACACTCCAACCAGCGCCATGACAGTTTACAAATGCCATGGCAACATGGTCTAGAAAGGGGAGGAATCCTCAGCTCTGGGAATTGCCCACCCCCTACCCATTTCCGGAAAACTCATGAATAACCCATCCCTTGTTTAGCATATAACCAAGAAATAACCATAAAAATGGGCAACCAGCAGCCCTCAGGGCTGCCCTGCCTATGGAGTAGCCATTCTTTTATTCCTTTACTTTCTTAATAAACTTGCTTTCACTTTAGTCTTCAAAAAAGTACGCAGATATGTATGTACATAGTTTATTTCAATTTTACGGATGTAAAGAATGTGTAGCACACAATTTACAAATGATAATAAACTATAGATTACTCTTTATTATATACTCTTTGTACATCATTAGTTCTCAAAGAATGCTTTGATTTTTGCCAAACTCTTGTACACAAAGCCAACCTAGGGTTGCAACTGATGAGCATGTATAGTTTTGGTATAAATATTGGTTGAGATTTTCATTTATGTTAGAAGTAAGAGGAAAGTTAAACAACAAAGATATATGTGAGAATGTCACTTGCTAGTCAGTGATGAAAGCAACTTCTTTGCTGAATCAAATAATAGTTTTCAAATACTGGAGGAATATTTTCTCATGTATGGGGACTATTCACAATGTAAGGGCTATGGACATGACACACTTTTAAGTTTAATCTGCATCGTTAACATTTTCTCCATCACACTCAACAAAATCATAAATCACACTCTGATATGTAGTGGTGTAAATACTGCCACCATAACCCAATTTCATGCTACCAAGAGAACATGGAGTTGAGAAAAGACATACAATAGGGCAGCATTATATAGTATTTCCACCCTACCTATACAACAGGCACAACTAACCCCAAAAGCATGAATAATAGTAAAGTGAAGTAAAATAATTAGGAAGTGATAAGTTCTGAGTATTTATTATTTTTGGTTTTGATATAATTTATTTAATTGTAAGTTTACATAATTTGCTTTCAATAATGACTGTGCTTAACAACCAGCTTGCAAATTCCTGAAAACTTACCAATCAGCTCTTATGAGCCAGTACAAGTCCATGCCAATACCCCACTGACTGGAAGAAAGAAATGCTGACGGAACTAAGTAAAGACAATGAGTTTAGAATGTGAAGGATGGCTTGCAGTATTGAAATCCCCAATTTCTCACTTTCCAGAACCAGGGGTGGAAATTTTAGGGGTTTGCACCCACCTTCCATGCAGTAGCCCATTCTTCAACATTGAGAGTCATGATTCTGAAAGCACCAAAGGTGGTAGATGATGAGGTTGTGGAATTTAAGGCCTTGTGAGAAAAATGAGTTAGGGGTTAAAACTCTTGAATGAACCTATGAAAGTCCCTCAAAAGAAAGGAAGGAACAAAGGAATGAAGAAAAGATATAGATAACATTTTATACACATTAAATTAGTAAAAACAGGAATTGGAACCTCCATTTCCATTTCCCAGACTTGCTCACGAATAACTTCAGGGCCTCTGTTTCTCCAGAATTTACAGAACACTTGTAAATTGGATGTGATTTGTTACAAGAATAATGATGTACGGAGGCTTTTTCATTTAACAGAGTCTGATATGGTTTGGCTGTGCCACACCCAAATCTCATCTTGAATTGTAGCTCCCACAATTCCCACAGGTTGTGGGAGGTACCTGGTGAGAGGTAATTGAATCATGGGAGTGGGTCTTTCCCATGCTGTTCTCATGATAGTGAGTTCTTATAAGATCTGATGGTTTTATTAAGGGGAGTTCCCCTGCACACACACTCTTGCCTGCCACCATATAAGACGTGACTTTGCTCCTCATTCACCTTCAGCCATGATTGTGATGCCTCCTCAGCCATGTGGAACTGTGAGTCAATTAAACCTCTTTCCTTTATACATTACCCAGTCTCATGTGTGTCTTTATTAGCAGTGTGAGAACAAACTAATACAGAGTCACAACTCAAAATGTTGCACAAGGTCATGTTTATCCTACCCAGACTCTAGGAAAGCAATGAGGGAGAGCTGGCTCTACAGAGAGTACATTTCTCCTAAAGACAATTGTAAGACAATATAAATGGCACCATAGATAGACAAATACAGCAGGAAGGATGCCTCAAAGACAGATCCTAAACTAAAAAAAAAAAAAAAAGTACTTGCTAATAGTAAAATCATTAAAAAAAATGGAAAGGGAAATTAAGTCAATTGAGGGTGTTAGAAGCACACACACACAAAACAACAACAAAAAATAAAAAACAGACTAGGACGCACACTAAAAACAGTATCATATGTGGTGATGGTATGGGGGCAATTCTTATTTTCTACCTATCTGGGAGAAATATTTATTTACTGGGAGATATATTTATTTTTTGAATAAACATATAATCAAGACTTGAAAGAGCAGGGAGTAGATGATGAGAAATTACTTAATGGACACAAGGTACATTATTCCAGTGATGGACACACGAAAAACCCTGACTTCACCATTATGTAATATATCCATGTAACAAAATTGCACTTATGCCCCATAAGTTTATACAAATAAAATTTAAAACACACAAAATCACTTTCATAATAGAGAAAACCCAATAAGAGCATTTCTACATACATATTTTATTTTTATTTTTTTGAGACAAGGTCTCACTCTGTCACCCAGGCTAGAGTGCAGTGCCGTAATCTTGGCTCACTGCAACCTCTGCCTCCTGGGCTCAAGCGGTCCTTCCACCTAGGCCTCTTGAGTAGTTGGGACTACAGGTGCACACCACCACGTCTGGCTAATTTTGCAATTTTGGAGAGACTGAGTCTTGCCATGTTGCCCAGGTTGGTTTTAAACTCCTGGACTCAAGCGATCCACCCGCCCCAGCCTCCCGCAGTGCTGAGATTACAAAGTGCATGAACTACCATGCCCAGCCCATTTTTACATAAATAAACAAATGATGCTGGAACAAGTGCTTACTGCTTAAAGTTACAGTCTTACCCCAAGACAAATCTCATAATGTTAAATTAGATAGTATTAAAGTAGAAAACAAAGAGACTAACAATCTAATAGAAAAACGATGAAATAAGCATGCAATTCACTTTAAGATGAAAACAAGTAGCCAATAACTGAACAACAAAAAAATTACCTCTACCCAGAGAAATGCAACAGGAAACTAATATTTCATCCACTAGATTGGCAAAAAGTAAAGTTATTTGATATTCCATTTTGTCATGCCTGTAGGCAAATAGTCTCTATTTAAGAGAATAAACTGGTACAGTCACTTTGAAGTACAATTTAGGAATGTGTCTTAAAATTTACACAAGCTAGAAAACAACATTTATATTTTTGTATATCTACATAGAGAAGCACCCCACACACACACATACACATATGCCAGTTAGTAAAAATTCATTTAGCTCTTCATGTACAATAAATGCACTTTTCTGTATGCATTCTATACTTCAATAAGAATTTTTTAAAAAGAAAAGAATGAATAATATGACTAACACTCATGTAATTATCATCCAGAATTGACAAATATGAACATTTTGCCACATTTAAGATTTTTTATGAAAGAAATAAAACACTGTTAGTTTTTAAAAATGCAAAGAAATTATAAACTTTAGTAGGCTTGTTGGTGGTGATAATATTGGTACAACAATTCTAAAACCACTTTGTAGGATTGTGCAAAAGAGTAAATACACTCAAATTTTTGGAGGTCCATCCAGAGTTGTAATGGTAGGAAATATGAAGTGAGGGAAGGAGCAGAAGCCTGGGATGTTGGATTGGAATTAAAGGTATCAGTGCAAACTCATCACTTTTTTTTTCTTTTTTTTTGAGACAGGGTGTTGCTCTGTCACCCAGCATGGAGTGCTGCAGTGGTATGATAATAGCTCACTGCAGTCTCGACCTCCTGGGCTCAAGCAATCCTCCCACCTCAGCCTCCCAAGTAGCTGGGACTACAGATGTATGCCATTATGCCTGGCTAATTTTTTTAATTACTTGTAGAGACAAGGTCTCACTATGTTGCCCAGGCAGGTCTCGAACTCGTAGGCTCAAGCAATCCTCCCTTGTTGTGCTGGGATTACAGGTGTGAGCCACTACACCTGGCCAAACTCATGCTTTTTAAGACATATGTCTTAGCTTTATCCTCTGAGAAAGCCTAGAAGCAATGACACCCCTGTGGCAAAGAACACACCTGACACCTAAATTGTGGTTTCTCAACACCATTCCCCATTAAAACAAACAAACAAACAAAAAATAGGGTTTTGAAGAAATGGCTGATTCCAGGGGTCTGGAGAAACAAAAACATAAAGTGAGCTTGAAACATCTTACTGTGACAGAAAGTAAGATAAGGTCAAAAAGTTGATGGAGATGTAGCAAGAGAATGCAGAACCCATCGCAGACAGTTCTACTGGCCAAATTAGGGACAATATGAACATCAAAACGATCAATTACAGAAATGGATTTTAGCATATTGATTTGAAAAAGACTCCATGAGTCTGTACTGTCACTAAAAAAAGTAAAAAAATAAAAAGTGGGAAAGAAGAAGAGAAAGTCTGATTTACAGAACATTGGCAACTAATAAATTTAGAAGGAGTAATAGAGAGTAATACCAAATTACCATTTTGCAAATGCTATAGTAATCATGAATTCTGAAAAGAATCATTAATGGATGCTAAAATGATTGGTTGAAATTCTGAGGAATATTTACACAGTCTAAAATTATCATCATTCCACAGATTACTTATTAACTACAAGTAGGACCTTTACAATGGAGAAAGGTCCATAACTGAGTGATTAAACTTACCAGGGGTGACCATAGCCAATAACTGAATTGTACATTTTAAAATAACTAAAAGAGTGTAATTGGATTGTTTGTAACACAAATGATAAATGCTTGTGGGAATGGATACCCCATGTGTCTCCATGATCACATTGCATACCTGTATCAAAACATCTCATGTACCCCGCAAACACATACACCTACTATGCACCCATAGAGATAAAAAAAAAAAACTTACCATGGGACAAATTGGCATCATAAGCTGCCTGACATGATGCATTGAGAACTACACATTACCTAGGTAGGATTTTTCCAAAAAACGTTAAACTTTGTGTAATCCAAATCCAAATAGAGGGTCATTCTGGAGAAGAAAAAAAAAAAAACTGATGAGGACGCTTCAAAAATGTCAGTGTTGGCCAGGCGTGGTGGCTCACACCTGTAATCCCAGGACAAGGTGGGTGGATCACCTGAGGTCAGGAGCTCGAGACCAGCCTTGCCAACATAGCGAAACCCCGTCTCTACTAAAAATACCAAAAATCAGCCGGGCATGGTGGTGCATGCCTGTAATTCCAGCTACCTGGGAGGCTGAGGCAGGAAAATTGCTTCAACCTGGGAGGTGAAGGTTGCAGTGAGCCGAGATCTTGCCACTGCAGTCCAGCCTGGGTGACAGAGCGAGACTCCGTCTCAAAAAATAAAAAATAAAAAAGAGTCAATGAAAGTTAAAAGAAGAAAAAAAGAACGGATAGACTGTTCTAGAATAAAGGAGACTAAATACCCATGACAACTAAATGCAATGCACAATCTTTACGAGATCCCAGATTGGGGATAAAACAACAGCTATGAAAGACATTATTGGGATAAGTGAGGGAATTTTGAATATGGACTCGATGTTAGATAACAGTAGTATGTTAATGTAAAACTTCCTGAGTGTGATAACTGTATTATGGGTATGTAGAGAAATGCCCTTGTTCTTAGGGGATACTCACTGAAGTATTTAGGGCTGCAGTATCAGGATGTCTGCAGGTAACTTTGAAATGACTCAGCAAAGATAAAGAGAGAAAGCAAATGTAGCAAAATATTAACAGTGATGAATCTAGGTGAAGGATATGTGGGTAATCGTTGTATTATTCTTGCTGTTATGTGTGTTGGTGTGTTGAGAGAGGGTCTTTCTCTGTTGCCCAGGAAGCAGTGCAGTAGTGCGATCACAGTTCACTGTAACATCTAATTCCTGGACTCAAGTGATTCTTGAGTCGCTGGGACTATATGTGTGTGCCACCATACCCAGCTAATTTTTTTATTTTTAATTTTTTATAGTGATGGGGTCTAGCTATATTGCCCAGGCTAGTCTCGATCTCCTGGCCTCAAGAAATCTTCCTGCCTGGACCTGCCAAGGTGCTGGGATTACAGGCGTGAGCTACCATGCCAGCCTCCTGCTTGTGTTTTGTTTTTTGGTTTTTACCCCGAGACGGAGTCTTGCTCTGTCGACCAGGCTGGAGTGCAATGGTACGATCTCGGCTCACTGCAACCTCTGCCTCCTGGGTTCAAGCGATTCTCCTGCCTCAGCCTCCCAAGTAGCTGGGATTACAGGCATGCACCACCACACCCAGCTAACTTTTTTGTATTTTTAGTAGAGACGGGGTTTCACCATGTTGGCCAGGCTGGTCTCGAACTCCTGACCTCATGATCCGCCCGCCTCGGTCTCCCAAAGTGCAGGGATTATAGGCATGAGCCACCGCACCCGGCCCTGCTTGTTTTTATCATTTGAATTTTTCCAAAATAAAAAGTTGGGAAAATGAATGAAGTATATTTAAACATACTTAAAAGAGCTGCAAATCCCAAGCTAAAAGGAAAAAGCAAGTTATAAAATAACACATAGAGCATGATACCATTTAGTTAAAAAACACAGAGAACATTACTGTAGATAAATAGATGCTGTATCTGTGCAGAAAACAGAAAACAGTCTAGGTGTTTTGAGCAGAGAATGACTAAACACAAGCAATCAGGAAGGGAATGAACCAAAAATTAACATTTAATACCTTTTAAGATTTAAACCATATGATTAGTTTATAAGTTATTCTCATTTTCTTCTTTGTATTGTTTTGCATTTTCTGAATTTCTAAAATGTGCAAGCAGTACTTTTATAATTAGGAAAAAGTTACTTTTCAAAGTCCATCTGTAGTTTTTAACAAATTCAAAGCTGCATCTGATTCTGTTAGGTAATCATAGTCTAAGCTTACTGTATGTTTATTGTATGACTTTGCTGCCCTCTAGTAACACTAAACAATACAGAAAAAAAGAAACATCAATTCTTCTATCCTTTATACCCAGAGAGCATGTTTATAACTGTCGTCTTCCATAATATATCTGCTTCAAATTTTTTTCAAGAGGCACAATAATGTATGAATGATACTGACCCAACAGGTGGTAAGCGGGTTCTTTCAGAAAGGGTGCATAGATTGGTATTTTTGCTTTTTCATTGGTCACACTATTCTCAGATATAAAGTGTCCATTGTGAATGTAATATAAATATCTTGTTCTACTATGGTTCTGAATAATACTCTTTCACATAGTAACACTAGAAGATATAAAATACTGAACTGAACAAAATGATTTCAAATGCCCATTTTACATGAAATGTTTGAAGAAAAGTTTACTACTGAAGACACCTTGGAGCTGTTCATTGTAATTATCTTGCAGGAAAATGTTCTGCCTCAGCCCCCAAAGTCCTTACACATTTTCTAATGATAAAGATACTTAACTGGCCATTGGCACTGTTAGGGCTCACAATACCACAAAGCATGCCACTTTAGCATGCTGAGTACTTTGAACTAAAGGAGATTGGAAAACCACAGAAGGAGCCTCAGAACCAGGGTCTCTCTGACCTTCTCCTGCCCTCCTGTCTCTGGCCCCTCTTTCTTTCCCAAAGCACAGGGAGAGGCTCTCTGAACTTCTCATACCTGCCTAAAGATAGATCCTCCAAAAAGAAACTCAATTGTCATGAGTCTCCTCCCCAGGAATCTCTTCAACCAAGGAAGATCAACTGCAACCCAAGAGAAGAGACTGAAGGTCAACATCATGCCCAGAGAGACTTGGCACAGGCTCTAACACCTATTCATCTTTTCCCCAAATTATTTTCTCAACCTTAAGCTGCCTACATCCTTCCCTGTCTCTCCCCTTTGAAGAAGGTATATAAGCTTCTCAATATCATTCGGTTATAGGGTACTCACTTTTTCCTATGATGCCCCTGTGCATATAATAAATTTGTGTGCCTTTTTTTCCTGTTACTCTGTCTACTATCTATTTACTTCAGTCCTTCAGAGGGTAAAGAGAATGTTTCCTGTCCCCTACAGCACATAGAAAAAATAAACTCAAACTGAAATTTCTATCATTTTATATCAGTTCTTAAGATGTAGTACCCTATTGATTTCGTTCACAATTATAATCACAATTAGCAATTAATTTGTTTATTGACTTTTTACATCTCTAGCAGCTGACTACAGTTCTAGGACAAAGAAAACATCTGTCTTATTCACTGTTGTGTCCCTACTGCCTAGCACAATGCCTAGAGCATCAAACATGTTCAATAAATTTTGTTGAATGAATGGGTAAGAGAAATACCTGGTCTAAATAGAAGATACATCTTAAAAATAAACTAGGATGAACAAGGTAACCTTCATTAAAACATTTACTTTTGTTCCAAGGTTGAGGGGTCACATCTGGTGAAGGCCTTAGTTTGGATAAAGAGAAATTTCACTTTCTTTTGGTTGAAGAAAGTGTCATTTTGGAAAATGAAGAAATGACCATTATAGCTGAATTGCCAAAACACTCATGAGTGGAATACATTTATAAGAGTTGAATCTCCACTGGGGATACTAATGTGGCCAATAATTTTTAAAGTAACAACTTTATTTAAAAAAATAAATAAATAAAACCTTGGGGTCTTTTAAACCTGGATTGAGTCAAAGTTTTAGTAGAAACAATGATCTCATTCAATTAGAACCAATGGCTACATTTTAATAGAGTTTGATACAAAGTATAAATTTACTAACAATTTTAACTAGGACCATTTATATGCTCTAAACAGAGGTACTTATCTCTATTAGCAAGTTACTTGCAATAACTATGTGCCTGCAGGAGAGAGAGCATTCCTCACTGTTACTTGCTGCTTAAATGCCTGCTTGTGAGGATGTATGTGTGCATAGTTTTTAAAAAGAAAGAAATAAGAGAAAAACTCTGTTGAACAAAAGCTATAGGTGAAGAGTTATTAAGCAAGTGAACTTTTAAAAACAATTGTATAAGGTACACAGATAAAATTTACCCTACTATAAAATGAAAATAACTCTTTAAGCAAATATACGTAACACAATAAAACATCATTAATACCAACAATAACAAAAAGGAAATTTATTATAAGGATTCCAAGAAGATCAAGGGAACTCACACATGGCGTGCAGTCCAGCTTCTGGAAGAGTCAAGGACCTGGGAAGGTACCAGAAGCCCTCAGAGTATCCTTTCTGTCCTCATTCTTCTCTCTCGCTACATTGACTAGTTTTCTTGGCTCCTGAGTTGACATGTAATTTAAGGCTTTCCTACTGCTTTTGAGTTCATTGCAATTCCAGCCATAAGCAGGGACTCACTGTCTCTGTTTCAAGGGCAAAATCTCGGGAGATTCTGATCAGCCCACTTTGCATCAGCCAGTACAATGTAACTTGGTGTCTTAGTCCATTTCTTTTTTTTTTTTTTTTCTTTTTGGGTGTGTGCCCTTGTTGTTGTTGTTGATACAAAGAAATACCTGAGGCTAGGGTAATTTATAAAGAAAAGAGGTTTATTTGGCTCATGGTCCCACAGGCTGTACAAGAAGCATGGCACCAGCATTTTTTTCTGGTGAGGGCCCCAGGAACCTTCTACTCATGGCAGAAGGTGAAGGAAAGCCAGCATGTCACATGGTGAGACAGAAGCGAGAGAGAGAGAGAGCGAGAAGAGGAAGTACCAGACTCTTTTAAACAGTAGGTTCTCATGGGAACAAATAGGGCAAGAATACACTTGTTACAGGATGACACCAAGCCATTCAGGAGGCATCTGCCCCATGATCCAAACACCTCTCACCAGGCCCTACCTCCAACACAGGAGGTCACATTGCCACGTGAGATTTGGAGAGAACAAATATTCAAACCATATCACCTGGCTTCCTAACTCACGGGGTACTCTTCTCCCTAGAGGAGGCAGTTCCCAAAGGTGGAGGGGAGATGTCTATTACTACTTTAAGAACTAATCGGCCGGGCGAGGTGGTTCACGCCTGTAATCCCAGCACTTTGGGAGGCCGAGGTGGGTGGATCACCTGAGGTCAGGAGTTAATGACCAGCCTGGCAACACAGCGAGACCCCGTCTCTACAAACATTCGCTGGGCGGGTGGTGTATGCCTGTAATCCCAGCTACTCGGGAGGCTGAGGCGGGAGAATCACTTGAACCTGGGAGGCGGAGGTTGCAGTGAAACGAGATCACGCCACTGCACTCCAACCTGGGTGACACAGCGAGACTCCGTCTCAAAAAAAAAAAAAGAAAAGAACTAATCTACTTCAGTAATTTATAATACATTGAGATCATGCTTTAGAAATAAAGGGTTGTTACCTGTAGAATATGTCCATTTATATCAACGTAGGGTAAAATATTTATCACTAATTCAATAAACAGATAATGTCCAATAGCATTCAGTCAACGAATATTGTCTATTCTGTGCCAAGAGCCATTGAACATACTGTGAAAACAGCAGTGAACAAAACATAAAAATCTCTTCCCCTATTGTCTTAGTACATTTTGTGTTGCTATAACAAAATACCACAGCTTAGATAATTTATAAAGAACAGAAATTTAGTTCTTATCGTTTTGGAAGCTGGAAAGTTCAAGGTTGAGGGGCCACATCTGGTGAAGGCCTTCTTGCTGCACCACATACCACGGCAGTACGTGACAGGGGAAGAGAGTACAAGAGAGCAAGACAGAAAGGGGGCTGGACTCATGCATTTTATGAGGAAGCCAATCCCAAGATAACTAACCCACTAATCCAGCGACCACCACATGAATCCATTCATGAGGGCAGACCCTTCATGACCTAATGTCTTAATGTCTCACCTCTCAACATTGTTACATTGGGAATTAAGTTTCCAACACATGAATTTTGGGGGATACATTCAAACCGTGGCACCCATGAGTTGACATTCTACTTTAAGTTACTGCAGAACTGCCTTCATCAAAGTAAGGTCTAAATCAATCTAAAAAATTATTACATTATTTCTTCAGCCTTTTTCCAGAATAGAATTATTGAGATGTCCAGAGTTATAGTTTTTTTAAAAAAAGGAAAATCCTAGATCAGGGACTCCTAGGCTGTTATATTTCACCTACCAGATAAAATTTTTTAAAGATAAAATAAAAAATTGAGGAGGGCCTATAGCTTTTACTACATTTCAGTTTTCCAAGTAAGGGTATGAAGATAAACTCACAGACTACCATATATTAGCATCATTGTTTATAGAAATAAAGAAATTTTCTCATCTTAACATGAAAGAGAAAAAAAGGCACATAATTTCAGAATAAAGGACTATTTCTTCCAAGAAAGGACATCTGGTTACTCTATACACACAGACTGTCCTTCCTCTTTTATTTTGGCAGCTGAGTAGGGAAAACTTTTCACAAGTTCACAGACCTGAATTTGGTAGTCATTGTTCCAGACTGCATGGTTTAGGACTGAGTTGGCAAACCAAACTGCTTATTGCCTATTTTGTCTGAATCTGTGTGTCAATTAATCCATGTAAAGTCACAATTTCATGGGAAAAATACTAACCAGAATTATTGCTTGGAAAGATGACTTTTTTTAAAGGAACAATTTATTGATTGAAACAAAATGGTTGATGTATTAGTTCTTTGTCTTCCCAGGATACTAAAAGCATTGCAATATTAAATGGTGATGACATACTATATCAACAAACAAATTAGTATATTTGATACTCAAAGTACAGAAGTACTTTATCAAGTAATTAGTTTCTGATAATATACCAGCTGACAGGCAGTTAAGGTAGCTATTCAATTTCAGGAATTTAATTTCCACAATCTCTATAACTTCTGATAGAAGAACCTTTGGCTTGCTTGGGCAGTAAGATAACTTTTAAATGTTTAACTTTGCTCTTTAACTATATAAATAGGTAGACTGGCAAAGTTATAAATAAATCTGTTGTATCTGAATACAACCATGCACTGCATAATGATGTTTTGATCAATGATGGACTGCATATATGGTGGTGGTCCCATAAGATTGCAATGCGGCCAGGCGCCGTGGCTCATGCCAGTAATCTCAGCACTTTGGGAGGGTGAGGCAGGCGGATGACCTGAGGTCAGGAGTTCGAGACCAGCTTGGCCAAATGGTGAAAGCTCGTCTCTACTAAAAATTCCAAAAATAGTCATGTGTGGTGGCACGTGCCTGTAATCCCAGCTCCTCAGGAGGCTGAGGCACAAGAATCGCTTGAACTTGGAGGCAGAGATTGCACCACTGCACTCTAGCCTGGGCAACAGAGCTACACTCTGTTTCAAAAAAAAAAAAAAAAAAAGATTGCAATGGAGCTGAAAAATTCCTATCATCTAGTGACATCATAGCAATCATAATACTGTAGCACAATACATTACTCATGTGTGTGGTGATGCTGGTATTAAGAAACCTCTGTTTCAGTGGTATAAAAGTATAGCACATACAATTACATATACCACATAAAACTCCATAATGATAATAAATGACTATGTTACTGGTTTATGTATTTGCTATACCAGTAGTCCCCAACCTTTTTGACACCAGGGACTGGTTTCATAGAAGACAATTTTTCCATGAACTAGGGGGTGGAGGATGGTTTGAGGATGATTCAAATGCATTACATTTACTGTGTACTTTATTTCTATTACAATTACATTGTAATATATAATGAAATAATTATACAATTCACCATAATGTAGAATCAGTTGGAGCCCTCAGCTTGTTTTCCTGCAACCAGATGGTCCCATCTGGGGGTGATGGGAGACAGTGACAGGTCATCAGGCATTAGATTCTCATAAGGAGTGCACAAGCTAGATCCCTCATGTGCAGAGTTCACAATAGGGTTCGTGTTCCTGTAAGAATCCAATGCTGCTGCAGATCTGACAGGAGACAGAGCTCAGGTGGTAATGCGAGTGATGCAGAGTGGCTGCAAATACAGATGAAGCTTTGTTTGCTCACCCGCCGCTCACCTCCTCTTGTGCAGCTCGGTTCCTAACAGGCCACTGACTGGTACCAGTCTGTGGCCTGGAGGTTGGGGACCCCTGCTTTATCTTATTTCTCGCATATTTAGTGAGGCCTCATCAGTTGTTAAGGCCCAGCTATTTATCTTCCCCCCAAATGTATATATTGAAACACTAATCCCCAGTGTGATAGCAGAGGAGGTAGAGATGCTGGAATGTGACTAGGTCACAAAGGTGGAGCCCTTATGAATGGGATTAGTGCCCTGGTAAGAAGCTGAAGAAACCACAGTTGTCTCCCTTCCACCATGTGAGGACTCAGCTAGAAGGTACCATCTATGAACCAGGAAGCAGACCCTCACCGGAACACAAATCTGCCAGTGCCTTAACCTTGGATTTCCCAGCATCCAGAGCTGTGAGAAATAAATTTGTTGTTTATAAGTCACCCAATTAATGGTATTTTGTTGTAGCAGCCCAAATGGACTAAGACATCAGCTAATGTATATAGAATATTTTTTACATATTTATTGGCTTTGTGGCTTCTAACATTTTAAAAATAAACTTAAAAAAAGAGAGAGAACAATGTCTACCTTTGGCCACTTGCCTCCTGCAGGGGTGGGAGGTGGTTGGGGACGCCTATACTATACTTTTTACTGTTATTTTAGAGCGCACTCTTTTTACTTACAAAAAAAAAAGTTAAGTATATAAGAGCCTCAGGCAGGTCCTTCAGGAGGTATTCCAGAAAAAGATATTGTTTTTATAGGACATGATAGCTCCATGTTTGTTATTTTTCCTGAAGACCTTCCAGTGGGACAAGATGTGGAAGTGGAAGACAGTGACACTGATAATCCTGACCTTGCGTAGGCCTAGGCTGATGTGTGTGTTTGTGTCTTAGCTTTAAAGTTTAAAAAGTAAAACAAAATAATTAAAATGGTAAAAATAGAAGATATTTTTGTGCAGCTGTAAATGTGTATTTTTTTAAGCAAAGTGTTATGCCGGGCACGATGGCTCACGCCTGTAATCCCAATACTTTGGGAGGCTGAGGCAGGTGGACGACCTGAGGTCGGGAGTTTGCGACTGCCTTGACCAACATGGAGAAACCTTGTCTTTACTAAAAATACAAAATTAGTTGGGCGTGGTGGTGCATGCCTGTAATCCCGGCTACTCAGGAGGCTGAGGCAGGAGAACTTCTTGAACCCTGGATGCAGAGGTTGCGGTGAGCTGAGGTTGCACTACTGCACTCCAGCCTGGGCAACAAGAGCAAAACTCTGTCTCAAAAAAAAAAAAAAAAAAGTCAAGAAGTTTTAAAAAATGTCTGGGCACGTTGGCTCATGCCTGCAATCCCAGAACTTTGGGAGGCCGAGGTGGGCAGATTACTTGAGGTCAGGAGTTCAAGACCAGCCTGGCCAACACAGGAGCTTGTGGGGTGTGCGGATCATCTCTACTAAAAATACAAACATTAACTGGGCATGGTGGTGCACGCTTATAATCCCAGCTACTTGGGAAGCTGAGGTGGGAGGATTGCTTGAACCTGGGAGGCAGAGGTTGCAGTGAGCTGAGATCACGCCACTGCACTCCAGCCTGGGGATAGAGTGAGACTCTGTCTCATTGCTTGAACCTGGGAGGTGGAGGTTGCAGTGAGCTGAGATCGCGCCACTGCACTCCAGACTGGGTGACAGAGTGAGACTCCATCTCAAAAAACAAAAACAAAACAAAACAATAACAACAAAAAAGTTTTAAAAAATAAGAAAGCTTATAAAGTAAAAAAGTTATAGTAAGCTATTTATTATTGAAGAAAGAAATATGTTTAAACATTTAGTGTAGCCTAAGTGTACAGTTGTTTATAAAATCTACAGCAGTGTACAGTAATAACCTAGGCCTTCATATTCACTTACCACTCACTCACTGACTCACCCAGAGCAACCTCCAGTCCTGTAAGCTCCATTCCTGGTAAGTGTCCTATACAGGTGCACCATTTTTAAAGCTTTTATGCTGTATTTTTACTGTATCTTTTCTATGTTTAGATACAGATACCATTGTGTTACAAGTGCTACAGTATTCAGTACAGTAACATGCCGTATAGGTTTGTAGCCTAGAAGCAATAAGCTATGCCATACAGCCTAGGTATGTAGTAGGCTACACCACTAGGTTTGTGTAAGTATGTGATGAAATTGCCTAATGGCATATTTCTCAGAATGTATCCCCGTCAAGTGACAAGTGATTGTATTGTGGCTTACTTTAAAATGAGAGGTACTCTTCCCTCTATCCATATCCAATCACCACTTTTACACTGGGAGAAATTTTTGAAATTTCAGGCCACCATAATAACATATTTGGCTTCTGGACCTTGTCTTTGCTACCTCTACCCTAATTATTTTACTGCAAATCTTTCTCTTGGCTCAGGTGTCTGGAGGCTGATCAGGCACAATTTGAATCTTCTATGATTAGAAAAGGGAGTTCAATTTCACTAGTGAAACACTGTTGGAATCAGAACTTACACCAATGCTGAACAGCCAGAATATAAGAACTGAGAGTAACATAAGTAGAATGGAAGCCAGATGTTATTAACCCTTCCTATTAACTAGAAGAAAATGTTAATGTTATAGAGGATGCTCTTAGCTCCAAAACTGAGTCCTAGTTGTGCACATGTCAAATCTAATTAAAAATATAAAAATTAGGCCGGGTGTGGTGGCTCATGCCTTAATCCCAGCACTTCAGAAGGCCGAGGCAGGCGGATCACAAGGTCAGAAGTTTGAGACCAGCCTGGCCAACGTGGCAAAACCCCGTCTCTACTAAAAATACAAAAATTAGCCAGGTGTGGTGCCAGGTGCCTGTAATCCCAGCTACTCGGGAGGCTGAGGCAAGAGAATCGTTTGAACACAGGAGGCAGAGGTTGCAGTGAGCTGAGATCGTGCCATTGTACTCCAGCCTGGGCGAGAAGAGCAAGACTCCGTCTTAAAAAACAAAACAAAACAAAACAAAAATACAAAAATTAGCCGGGTGTGGTGCCAGATGCCTGTAATCCCAGCTACCCGGGAGGCTGAGACATGACAATAGCTTGAACATGGGAGACAGAAGTTGCAGTGAGCTGAGATCGTGCCACCGCACTCCAGTCTGGGCCATAGAGCAAGACTCCGTCTCAAACAAATAATAAATAAATAAATAAATAAAATAAAAAGAAATGCTTGGAGTGCTCGGGATCTTCCACTTCAACCTGGAATTTAAATCTTACTGAAATTTCTACAGGATGGTGTGGGCAAACAGGCATCCTAATGTTTGCTGATATAAGTGCAAACTGCATAACTTCTATAAAAAGAAATTTAGAATTAGCAAAATCATAAATGCATATATTGAGATCTAGCAATTTCAATTCTATTTCATCCTACAGATGTAACAGTTTTTCAAAGCTTTTCATTACAGCACTGATTAAGACTAGAAATAATCTAAATATCAATGTTTATGGAACTGGTTAAATAAATTACGGTATATCCCAACAATGAATCACTACGCAGGTGGGTTAAAAAAAAAAATAGACGGCCGTGCGCGGTGGCTCACGCCTGTAATCCCAGCACTTTGGGAGACTGAGGCGGGCGGATCACGAAGTCAAGAGATTGAGATCATCCTGGCCAACAGAGTGAAATACAAAAATACAAAATAAATTAGCTGGGCGTGGTGGCACGTGCCTGTAATCCCAGCTACTAGGGAGGCTGAGGCAGAAGAATCACTTGAACCTGGGAGGCGGAGATTGCAGTGAGCGGAGATCGCGCCATTGCACTCTAGCCTGGGCGACAAGAGCGAAATTTAGTCTCAAAACAAACAAACAAAAAACCAAAAAAACACAACCCTTCATATACAGATATGGGCCGATCTCCAATCTACGGTAGGCTAAAAATGCAGCTTACACACCATCTGTGTAAAAAGGGGAACACATTAAAATATGCATATTTATTTGCTTTTATGTTCATGGAACATCTTTAGAGGATCATAAGAAACTGTTAACATTGCCACTGAGGAAGTGAACAGCCTTCCAGACATGGGTGGATTTTTTTCACTCTACCGAATACCCTTTTAATTTCGAAACATCAAAATGAATTCGCATGCACAGGTGCATGCCCGAAGGAAAAACTTCTAGTTCGGTGATGAGATAGGGAAAGCCGGTGAGTTCAACCTTAGGCGCAATCACCCTGTGAAGGTGTGGCCAGCGAGGGCTTTGTCACGCAAGTCTGAGAACTGTCACAACCTTCCCCACCCCCTGCTCTATTTTCCTTCCACTTGTTTCTGAAACTCACTAAGCTTTGGAAAGTATTTAGTCATAGAATTGCTTGCAAACTTGGCATTCTTTAGAAAACACGGAAACACTTTTGCTTTCCTTGTTCCTGAAAGACTGGGGAACGGGGGACATCAAGCCAGGTAACATTGTATCATAACTGAAATTCAATGTCTTTGAAGTAACATTGTACCATAAATGAAATTCAATGTCTTTGAAGTAACATTGTATCATAAATAAAATTCAATGTCTTTCTAAGAGCTCTGTAGCTATAAAGCTGTAGAAATACAAAGTATTACTCAAGAATAACTAGTAATTACCAATAGTCACACCTCAGGTCAAAGTTTGGAGAGGACTATTCCACCTACTAGATCACACTTTCCTTCCCGAAAGCCGCTTCTCTCTCTGGCCTCTCCCCTCCTCCTCCTCCCTCATCTGTTTGGCGGGAGGCTTCCTCACATTACCGCTCCGCGTAAGTGCGAAGACGCACTGCAGCAGCGCCGTCTGAGGGACAACAGAGCCTACTCTTTCTTCTCATCTCTATGATCCTCTTTGTGACCTGTCAAACAACACCAGAGTTCCATGCTAATAGTACTCCACTCCGACAGAGAGCGATGCAAAGAGCCGACGCTCTCGCGAGAGGTGTGGGGCTCTCTCTCTCTCTCTCGCTCTCTCTCTCTCTCTCTCTCTCGCTCTCTCTCTCTCTCTCTCTCTCTCTCTCTCTCTCTCTCTCTCTCTCTCTCTCTCTCTCTCTCTCTCTCTCTCTCTCTCTCTCTCTCTCACTCTCTCTCTTTCTCCAAGTATTGAGAGCGCGTGGGAGCATAGGCGCATGCGCGCTCGTGGGGTGCGCGGTAGCAACAGAGGACTCGACCCGGCTGGAGCTCCGGAGAGCGCGCGTGCGCCGTCACGAGCTCGGCGCTGCCGGGGCCGCGGTGTGGAAGCGAGTATTCGACCGCCGTGCGGGCCGCGGGGATGTTCCGAAAGGCCCGGCGGGTGAACGTGCGCAAGCGGAACGACTCCGAAGAGGAAGAGCGGGAACGCGATGAGGAGCAGGAGCCGCCGCCGTTGTTGCCGCCGCCGGGCACGGGCGAAGAGGCGGGCCCCGGTGGCGGCGACAGGGCCCCTGGCGGGGAGTCGCTGCTGGGCCCGGGGCCGTCGCCGCCTTCCGCGCTGACCCCGGGCCTCGGGGCTGAGGCCGGGGGCGGCTTCCCCGGCGGCGCGGAGCCCGGCAACGGGCTGAAGCCGCGCAAGAGGCCTCGCGAGAACAAAGAGGTGCCCCGGGCCAGCCTGCTCAGCTTCCAGGACGAGGAGGAAGGTAAAGTGCGCGCTTCGGACGCCCTTAGACGGCCGCATCCCCGACGCAGGCCCCCGTCCCCCGCCCCCGTATTCTCTGGACGCCCAGCCCCGGAGCCCTGGAACGGAGTCCCCTGCCGTCCGACCGGCTGCGAATCTTCCCCAGCCTCCGGCCTTCTGCTCGGGCAAGGGACGCGTTCCCGCGCTGCCCCCAGCCTTTTCTTAACCACCTCCTCTGCCACGGGGCCGGAGCTCAGATCAGGCATTCAGAGTGTTTCAGGGGAAATTCGGTGTTCCCTGTCCTGCCTCTTTTCTGCCTGGCGTGTTTCAGGGCCAACTTGGTGTGGGTCCCCTGGCTGCTCTTGGCATGCTTTCCGAGCCCTCTGCAGGTCACTGCGCCCACACTTCTTGGATGCTCTGTCCAGGCATCCTCGACCATGAAGGCCGAGTTTGTAAAAAGGAATACTAGGAGAGGGAACAGAAGCCTGGAGTTGCAGCTCTGGTTCTGAGTGACCTTGGGCCAGTCCCTTGCAGTCGCTGAGCCTCAGTTTACCCATAAAAGTAATTAGGGGTAGCAGATACCCAGCCTTCTTCGCACTGACTTTGGGAACAGTGAAGCGAGACGGTGTAAAAATAGTAAAAGCAAGGTAGTTTCTCCAATTCCTGTGGGAGGCCAGGCTGCAGTGGTTTTAGATTGCTGATCTTAAATGAGCCTTAAATCTTTTCTTCTGACCATTTGAATGTGCATAACCCAGTTAATTCCATGTTACGAAAAAAGAAATTAAGTTTTGTAAATCTTGCATTTTTATTCGAGAGGTTTCCAGTAAGGTAGGTAGTTTATCTTTGGCATTTCTGTTACTCTTTATTTGGTTTGAGAGGAGTACAGACAGATTTTTGTTTTTGAGATACATGAGCTATTTTTTTTTAAGTATTTAGTACTTTTAAAATTTCAAATCAAAGAAAAGTGATTTGCCCTTACCTTAGCTTTAAAACCACTATGTCAGCTTGTGGTGGATGTAGTTACTCAGAATTGACAGCACCTTTTTATTTTAGATATTTTGTTTCGGATTCGTTAATAACTTGGTGATGTGGTTTTTCAGAAACATTTTGAATGATTTTTTCCCCTCTCAAATAGATGATTTAAGGACGACAATAATAGGAAAATTTTGTGAAGTTACATGTGCTATTCCTTTAAAAAGTCTCAAAAATCTCATTACTTCACAGTAATTTAGGAAGTTGACCTCTGTTTTTGAGTCTGTGACAGACTTGAAATAATTATACAATGATTTTGGCATATGAGTATATATATTTGGGATAATTTGGACAGCACGTAAGATCATGTGAAAGAAGGGAAAATATTTTCAGAAAATAGTTGCTACAGACTTCATTTAATTTCCTTTTTAAGAAAATGAAGAAGTTTTCAAAGTGAAGAAATCAAGTTATAGCAAAAAGATAGTAAAATTGCTCAAGAAGGAATATAAAGAAGATCTTGAAAAATCGAAGATTAAGACAGAACTCAACTCATCAGCTGAAAGTAAGTACCAAACTAATTGAATTCTTTTGAAATGACAAAATGAAAGCTCTTTCTCACAGTGATTTGCTGTATATCTTCTGAACTCATTCAGTGGACCCTGTGGTTGTCAAGGGCCCTTATTGAGTAGCAGTACAGTTCTGTTATTTAATTGTAACACAGATGCTTTGTAAATGTATTTTATAAGAAGACAGAATTGTTGCCACTGGAACATTTCTGCTGCAATGACTAGATTCTCTCACAGTTTTCCTACTTGTGTGCAGACTGCTGTTGAACAGAGAAAGAAGGTTTCTCATTTTAGCCTAAGACACAGGTTTATTTCTGTTTGAAGGAGTGTTGTGCAAATTCTTGTATTTTGTAGAGACAGATTTGCGATTTCTTTGGTGGTATTTCCACAGTGGATTTTATTCTTAGAGAACTTTTAGGAATGCCCTAAATTTAATATTAGTATTACTCCCATTCAGCAGCCTTATCTGATACTAGATGAAGACTCCTTAGAATAATGAGGCAGGTATATTGTACAGACATCTCTTACGTCTCTCAAAACCTCAGTTTAAAAAATTTTAAGCGGTTATTTTGTCTTTAGGAAAGTGGATCCAGTATAATATTCTATGGTCTGAGTTATTCTCCTGCAAATGCTATTTTATTTTATGGAATTAATGAGAAAATCATGATTTTCCAGATTCTCACTTACAGGCTTATTGTGAAAAAGTATGGCTTTGTATCTCAAATTTACAA